>NC_000009.12:108069036-108220552 GCF_000001405.40 Homo sapiens | reverse complement strand
GGCATGTTTATCGCTCTACCAGTGAGAATAAAATCAGTGATGTCGAATGCCTGGACCATGGTCATGTAGCTACTGTGCCTTCCAAATTTTTGCTTCCCAGGACACCGTCTTTCAAAACTCACCATTGTATATAGCCGACATTATTAAGACATTCTCCTGTGGCAACCTTTTCCTGTTTTCTCATCTTTCCTGTTTCAACCAGCAGGCCAGCCAAAGGCATTATCTCTTCTTATGAAATGAGATATATCGCCTCATTTAAGCTGGTCTGTATCAGTGTGCTGTGGGCATCATTCCTATTTTATTAATGTAGGTAAGAGGTTTCAGAGTTCTAGTAATTCGCCCAAGGTCATATGGCTTGTAAAGAATTAATTTAGGGCAAGAAAATGAGATTGTGCTTTGAAGATGGAAAGTTGGCTAGAAACCTCATCTCTGTGTCTTACCACCTGTATTAGTTATCTATTGCTGTGTAACAAATTAGTCAATAACTTAGCAGCTTAAAAGAACACACATGTATTATCTCACACTTTCTGTGGGTCAGAAATATGGGAAGAGTTTAGCTGGGTCCCCTGGCCTCTCACAACGCTGGAACCCAGGTATCATGGCCATCTCAAGGCTCAATGGAGGTGAGATCTGCTTCCAAGAGCACTCAGTAGTTGTTGGCAGGATTTAGTTCCTTACGGGCTGTTGGCCAGAGGCCACCCTCGGTTCCTTGCCACATGGGTCTCTTGATAAGACAGCTCATAACCTGGCAGCTGGCTCCAACAGAGTGAGCAAGCAAGTGAGAGAGGAAGAGAGAGAACAAGCGAGATGGAAGTCATAGTCTTTTATAACCTAATCTTGGAAATTACATCCCATCACTTTTGCTGTATTCTATTTACTAGCTAAAAGTCACTAGGACCAGTCCACAAAAAAGGGCAGCAAATTACATAAAGGTATGAATACCAAGAAGCAGAAGTCATTGAGGGTCATTTCAGAAGCTGCCTACCATCCTGTCTGAGCTGGTTGAATTTACTTAGCCTCATTTTTAAATTTAAATTTAAACTTTTTAACTTAACTGTTAAGTTTAGGGGTACATGTGCAGGTTTGTAATATAGGTAAACTTGTGTCATAGGTGTTTCTTGTACAGATTATTTCATCACCCAGATACTAAGCCTAGTACCCAACAGTTATTTTTTCTGATCCTCTCCTTCCTCCCACCAATAGGCCTCAGTGTCTGTTTTTCCCCTCTATGTGTCCATGTGTTCTCACCATTTAGCTCCCACTTATAAATAAGAATATACCGTATTTGGTTTTCTGTTCCTGCATTAGTTTGCTAAGGATAATGGCCTCCAGCTCCACCCATGTTCCTGCAAAGGACATGATCTCATTCTTTTTTTACGACTGCATAGTATTCTGTCGTATGTAGGCACCATATTTTCTTTATCCAGTTTATTATTTATGGGCATTTAGGCTGATTCCATGTCTTTGCTATGTAGTAGTACTGCAGTGAACATACACGTGTATGTGTCTTTATAACAGAATGATTTATATTCCTTTGAGTACATACCTAGTAATGAGATTGCTGGGTCAAATGGTATTTTTGTTTTTAGGTCTTTGAAGAATCCTCACACTGATTGAACACATAGTTCCACAATGACTGAACTAATTTACACTCCCACCAACAGGGTAAAAGCATCCCTTTTACTCCACAACCTCGCCAGCATCTGTTATTTTTTTGACTTTTTAATAATAGTCATTCTGACTGGTGTGAGATAGTACCTTGTTGTGGTTTTGATTCGCATTTCTCTAATGATCAGTGATGTTGAACTCTTTTTCATATGATTGTAGGCCACATGTATGTTTTCTTTTGAAAGTGTCTGTTCATGTCCTTTGCCCACTTTTTAATAGAATTGTTTGTTTTTTTTTCCTTGTACATTTGTTTAAGTTCCTTATAGATGCTGGATATTAGACCTTTGTCAGATGCCTACTTTGCAAAAATTTTCTCCCATTCTGTAGGTTGTCTGTCCACTCTCTTGATAGTTTCCTTTTGCTGTGTAGAAGCTCTTTACTCTAATTAGATCCCATTTGTCAGTTTTTGCTTTTGTTGCAATTGTACTTAACCTCTTTTAACCTTGGTTTCCCCATACTTAAAGTCAGAATAATATACCCATTGCACTATTATTGTGGAAATTAAACAACTTGGACTATAGAAAGCCCCTGGTCCCTAATTTTTGCTTGTTAAATTATTACTACAATTGCTATCATTTTATTGATATCCTAAGTAGGAGAGCCAGAATCGGAACCCAGATAATGTGTGTGATTTTAATCCGTGCTGTCTCCTCCTACACGGTGTTGCCTTTGGCCTGAAATAATATATTCTGAGATGGGCTCTCATTTTCTAAGATAATTTGCTTAAAATAGTCTAAGAAGAGTCATCTATCCTTGTGTCATGTGCAAAGGGAGAGGCAAGGCGATTTTTTTTGCTTTAACAACTATAAATTTGAAGAAGCCCTCATATGAAAGGTTTTCTTTGTGCAAGTGTTTAGCTCATCTTATAAGACATTTTAATGTTAATAGGGCTCCCACAGGGACAATATAATTGATACAATACTCTTCCAAAGCTGTTCTAAACGTTGCAGTCACCGGAGTACGGTAATATATCTTCCCAATGTCAGAAAGCGCAGAGTGGTTACTGAACTCCAACTTGGTTGACTCTCAGATGGCTTCTTTGAAGATGAATCTTAATGGGGAGGCTGACGTTGGAGCCATGGGAGCAAATCTGATGAATGTGCTGGAAGTGCCGCAGTGGCCTTTAAAATGCCTGAATGTCACTGGGGGAAATAAAAATGCTAAGGAGAATTAATGTGATAAGCAAGTGCTGTCGGTGAGCCATCTCAGAATCATGGGCTTGGGGTTTTAGCAAAACCACATAGTGTGGTGAAAAGACCATGGGCTTCAGAGTCAGCCAGAAAAAGCTGAATTTGAGTCCAAGTTCTGCCTCTTTCTAACTGGGTGGGACCTTGAGATAATAATTTAACTTCTCTAAAACTTTCAGCTACTTGCTCTATAATGCCAGGTAATAATAGCTGTATCACAAGGTTTCATGAGTGTCAGGGATCACACCAAAGGCGCTTTATACATTTTAGTTCTCATCTTCCTCTTAGAGCCTGCTTTTTAATTCAGTAGTGGCAAATATTTAACAACTGCCTCTCCAAAGGGTAACAACCCCCTCCTCCAAAGGGGACCCCTGATCTATAGCCTTTGCCTATTTCCGTGGTGTAAAAATTTCACCATGCTGATTTTGAGCTACCAACTGGAAGCCAGGGAATACTGTTAAAGTCTCTGTTCAACTTTCTCTCTCCCTTTCCCGCAGATTTATGTCTTTTTATTTATTTATATATTTATTTAGAGATGGGATCTTGCTATGTTGTCCAGGCTGGTCTCAAACTCCTGGCCTCAAGCAATCCTCTTGCTTCAGCTTGCTAAAGTGTTGGGATTACAGGCATGAGCCACCATGCCCAGCCCTGATTTATGGCTTTCGTCGGAGCCATTACCCATTTTTGTAAAATAAAATAATGTGTGTTCCCTGCCTCCCGCCCTCCAGCCACTGAGTGGGCCACACCACCTTAAGGATAAGTCTTGGTAGCAGGTGGCACCTTTGTCCAGAGAAAAAGGCAACTCTTTTTCCCTTCCTCTGAAAGCATGTGGCCCTAAGTTAGAGCATATGGCTTGGCAAGAGGAACACGGGCTGGTTTTCAGTGCCCTCTCACTGTCTTGGCTGAGTACCCTTGTGGAGGACACAACCTTTCAACTCTATCTGGTGGCCTTGCCTTTTGTGGTTAACCTTTCCAATGTACAATGCCCTCTCTGCCTTTGACAAAGTAACTGCTCATTAACAGGCTACACCTCCCAAGATAAGCAAATAAGCTCTCTTTCCCCATTTTCATTGCTTCCCTGAACAAGGAAGAAGGTAAATCTGTCATCTCTCAGTATTTGGTTTAAGGCAGAAATATGTATTCAGACGTGGAAGTGTTGTAGGAGTTGTAAGGTTGGAGGGAAGAAATCAGAAGGTGTGTGAAATTTTCCTGATTAAAAGAGTTATTTGGGAGTTGGCTGTTGGCCTAATCATTGAGATTCCTTCTAGTTCATGGACAATGCTTATATCTGAACCATATGGGACAGATTACAAACCACTTTCAGAAATGTTATCTCATTTGGAACACACCTTGTGAGGTCAGTAGTGGTAATTATCAGATTTAATAGATGAGGAAATTGAGGCTCAGATAAGTTAATGTCATAGAATATTAAAACTGGGCCTCAAACCAGGGTGTCCTAGATATAGGTTCCTGGCTTTTTTGATGCATTATTTTTGTTCTGTTATTAACTCATCCCCCTAGGCTCTTTCTCCTGACTGGGCTTTCTCATTAGAACCACAAAATAAAGAAAATAATTTGAGGCCAGGCACGGTGGCTTGTAATCTGAGCACATTGGGAGGTCGAGGCGGCCTGAATACTTGAGGCCAGGAGTTCGAGACCAGCCTGGGCAACGTGGCAAAAACCCACCTCTACAAAAAATACAAAAATTAGCTGGGCGTGGTGGTGCTTGCCTGTAATCCCAGCTACTCTGGAGGCTGAGGTGGGAGGATCACTTGAGCCTGGGAAGTCAAGAATGCAGTGAGCTGAGATCATGCCACTGCACTCAGCCTGGGCAATAGAGTGAGACCCTGCCTAAAAAAAAAAAAAAAAAAAAAAAAAAAAAAAAAAAAAAACAGAGAGAACATAATCTGAATAGCTATTATCTCCATTCTCCCAAGGTTGTGTCTAGGGCATTCTAGATACACTGGTGAGAAGTTCGTTCACTGCTAACAATGGATGCCTTAGGGCAATTGGGCTTAATTCTGTTGCCAAACCCTGGTTGAGAAAAACTGTTTAATCCATGACTACATGCTTCACTACCTCTTACCACCAACAAAACCTAGGGTGACCTATTCAGGCCTGTGCTCCAAGACATTTTTCTTCTACTCCTTCACTGCTTCTTCTCAACTCTTACTGGCCAACACCCAATTCTCTTTCAGGACAAATGAGATAAAGTTATGCTCCTGGAAGATGTCCTGGGTTATATGTGCAAGAATGATGATCTGGGTTTCTGTGTGATCTTGAGCAAGATTCTCCATCTCTGGGTCTCAAGTTCTTCATCTGACTACTTCTGTCCAAAGCCACATTCAGAAGTCACGGTGAACATTCAGGAACAGCCACACAGGGCAAGGCGTGCTGCATTCATCTACTGTGCAACAGTGGGGGATTCAGGGACAGAGCACAGCCACAGCCTGGTAAAGAAACTGGCATGGAAACAACTTATGATAACTGCGGTAAAAGAGGGAACCCAGGGCACAAGCTTATGGAAGAAGGCATGTGTGGGAATTTGGGGAGCCTCAATAAGGAGAGAGATTTTTGAGCTACGTGATAAAGGAAAGGCAGGGGTTTACCAGAAAGGGTGGGGAGTTGGGGGCAGGGGATCAGTAGGCTCGATGAGGAGGTGGTTGCCTGTAACCCAGGGTGAATGCCATGACGTAGAAGGAAAGAGAGTGGGGTGCTGTCCAAGAAACAAGGAAGCACAAACATGGTGGAGAGCAAAAAGGGATGCCTTAATTACTGATACAGCAACCTGTGCCAACCCCAAACGCATCTTATTAAATGGAGGACAGTAGACACAAAATGCTACATGCTCTATGAGTCCATGTAAATTAAATCTGGAAAAGGCTAATCGGTAGCAAGTAAAAGCACAACAGCAGCTTCCAGGAGCCAGAGTAGGGGAATGAGTTGGCTGTACAGGAGAAGAAGAGAATTTGGGGGGTAATTGAGGTGTACTATATTTTGATTTTGTTAGTGGCCACATGACTGTGTGCATTTGTCGAAACCCATTGACTTGTATATTTCTTTTTTTTCTTTTTTTTTTTTTCTTCTGAGACGGAGTCTCACTCTGTCGCCCAGGCTGGAGTGCAGCGGCATGATCTCGGCTCACTGCAAGCTCCTCCTCCTGGGTTCATGCCATTCTCCTGCCTCAGCCTCCCGAGTAGCTGGGACTACAGGCGCCTGCCACCACGCCTGGCTAATTTTTTGTATGTTTTTTAGTAGAGACGGGGTTTCACCGTGTTTGCCAGGATAATCTCGATTTCCTGAACTCGTGGTCCGCCCGCCTCGTCCTTCCAAAGTGCTGGGATTACAGGTGTGAGGCCCCGCATCTGGCCGACTTGTATATTTCAAAACAGTAAATTTTACTGTGTATAAATTACCCCCTTAATAAAGCTAAAAAAAAAAAATCTGTATGGAGAGAGAGGACTGGGACTTGGATGTAGGGATAAAAAGAAACAAGTGAAATGAGAGAGAGATTAAATAAAATAAAATAAAATAAAAGCTGAGAGAGGTGTATCTTTGTCTTGCTTTTTACATTTTTTATTTTATCGAGACAGGGTCTCAAAACCGGCAGGGGTCTCAAAGTCGCCCAGGCTGAGTGCAGTGGCATGATCTCGGCTTACTACAGCCTTGAACTCCTGTGCTCAAACAATCTTTCCACTTCAGCTTCCCAAGTAGGTGGGACTATAGGTGTGCACCACCACCCTCGGTAATTTTTTTCATTTTTTGTAAAGAAGGGGTCTCACCATGTTCCCCAGGCTTTGTTTTTGCCTTAACAGAAGTGTGTATGTTTTTTCCACATTGAGTATGCTGATGACTTCATTTCTTTCATTATAACTTTATGTATTTATTCCCTTTTGTTTGATCCAGTGTTTTATTCAGAAACACCAATGAAGTGTCACTGTTTTTGTCCTATAGATGTACCATTTTTTCTTTCGTCATTCTTCTCTCACTTCCCCTTTTATTTCTTCTGCATTTTTCAAGAGATGTTTTTCCTCTTTCTTCTACATTACAGCCCAGAATTCACACAATTTCGATTTTGTCCTTTACTGCTTCTAAAGCAAATTTTAAGGCTATGATTGCATTTTACTTTTTTTCTAGAATTTTCTTATTTTATCCAGCTCCCATTTATTGATGCCTGACTCTGAACCCACATCTGAGAAAGCAATTAAGTGGGGGAGATTCCTGTAGGTGACAAATTTTTCCAAATTTAGAACAGGTATTTGACTGTTTTATTATTTTCTCATCTTGTATCTTTTACTTTATAGCCCAAGTTCTCTAGAATTTTATTGACAGTACAAAGTAGATGCAGTTCCTTTTTTATATATAAAACATTTTTTTTCTCAAGTATGTGTACTTTCTTTGCCTCTGTAGTACTAAATTATTTATTGTTATCCCTACAATTTGTATTTCACTGGGAACATTCCCAATATTGATTTATTCAACCGTGTATATGGGTGAATGGAGGACCTTTGCTTCCCATTCATCCTTGAACAAAGGTGAATGAGTGGCCCAGGTTCCCCTTACTCTTGACCTGGTTCCTCACATCACAGGCTGCAGGGTGAGTGGACATGTTTCTTTCCAGTAGTCAGAGGGGACAGGAAAAGAGCTGAAGCCCTAAGCCATCTCATCGTCACTTGTTCTTTGTGTTTGTTTAAAGCATTGATCCAAAGGTCACCTTTTTTTGCTTCTGTTTTTTAATTTGATCTTGTTTCTTGTCCAGGTACAAGGTATGGCAGTAGCCAGGTACCACAGCTTTATAAATAGAGGAAAAGTCATCTCCTTTCCTAATTTCTGGTAAAACTGCTGCCTCAGAACTCTGATAATTACAATAAAAGCTCCGAATACAAAGCTTCCTGTGTATCCTGTGTCCCCTTCTTGCCTTTCTCCATTTGGAAATGTGGGGGCCTGCATCAGTCTCCTTCATTTATTTGCTTTCTCCAACATGGGACTGACCAGTTACTTCTCACCAATTTCCTTCCAATTTTTAATCCCATCTAGCAGAAGTCTAATTGTAAGCATCCTTTTATACCTATGGAACCATGCCTACAATAAAGAGGTTTTAGGGAGATTTTGTGGAGCCGCAAAATTGCATGTACCCATATTCCTTAGGATGAAAGAGTGTTTAGATGGAATGTTTTCCACAGAAATGACTGTAAGTCTTCCATTGTGTTTTGAGAAATACTAACTCTGTTCCTGGACACAGCTGATTGGAAAAATCACTGGGCTGGAGGGAGGCCAACTACTTCCGGGATGTCTTCTTGGGAACTTTGACCAACGGGGACATTTTATACTGAGTGGCAGCAAATTGGGCCAATGGAAACCTCTTTGTGGGAAAAGAGCTATAACAGCCCCGTTAATTAGGGAAAAGGCAGTCACTTCAGCTCAGGCTGCTGCCCCAAGAAAATTGAGCAAAGCTTTGCAGTTTCTGTAAACCCTTTTGTCCACCCCAGGTTTGGAAATACTGAGACCTCACAGTTCCCAGTATGTATCTTTTCCTTTCACCATCCTCAATTAGACATAACTATCAAGTAGTAAGTCAAATATTTCAGTAGTTCAAGACAGAGAGCTTCACTTGCCTTTCAAATAGGGTGTTGGTCTTGAAAAGAGGAGTCCAGTGCAAATCCTTTATTCTTTCTGGAAAGGAAGCTCGAATAAGGGTCCCCGCTCCACCCATACCATCCTCCAGAGAACTCTAGGCTCTCTTGTCATAGCAGAAATGCAGATTAGGATCTAGCAGTATAAAACCCAGGCAAATGCTCCCTTTGATTTGTTTTGTGGGGTTACCCCTCATAGTATCCTGAGAGCTGTGCCTCATTCAGATGAAAATGGTTTAGAAAGTTGGATGGGGTTTCTGTTGACTTAACTTGGCTCTAGGTGCCTTATTACACATCCAAGGATTGGAAGATCATTTTATGACTAACATTTGGGTTAAATCTGTAAGTATTGTTTATCTTTGACATTATTTCCCTGAAATAAAAAGGCAATATGAGCAACAATTTTCCCCCTGTCATTTTGGCCAGCACCAAGGGGAAGGAGGTTGGGGAACAGGGAGAGGAAGGTAATGATGACATGATGTTGCAGTGCTATCTTTCTTTGTATCTTCCAGTTTTGCTGGTGGAGGGAAAAAATGTTGACATGACACAGGGTCATGCCTCAGGGAGTCCAACAAGTGAAAACTGATGGATGTTCACCGCCACATCCCTTTCTTTAAGGGATGCTATCATGTCACATTTCTGAAAATACAGAATGCACACTGGTTAATATTTTCACATATGCTGATAAATGCAGCTGCCAAAAAAAGCATGCTTTAAAAAATGTCCAAGAGAAGTTGAGAGTTGTGGCTCTCTTGAACAGAATTTATATTTTCATGGTCTTTCTTGGTTCTCTCAGTGATGTTATAAGGTTTACCTAGTTCCCTCACTGCTTGCTTTCATTTTAACCTTGTCCAGAAAGAAATGACTAGAAATAAAGTTTTATTCTTAATCTTCTAATGATATATGATAATAGAGATAAACTTGCCCTATTTTCGGTGAGAAAAGTGCATGTGCACACATACACACACACACACACACACACACACACCCCCAAACCAAACCAAACCAAACTGAAAGACACATTTTTAAAATAAGAAGCAAAATCATCTGTAATCCATCTATAATAAAACATCATATTTATTTTTATTTTCTAGTCTTTATATTTTACATCCATACAATCATTTTCAATTTTACCTTCCAAATTTTATGAAAGAAACTGAGCCAACTGGCAGTCATGATTATAATTTTTATGTCTCTATAATAATTAATAGAAAGACTCTTCCGGGCCGGGCGTGGTGACCCACACCTGTAATCCCAGCACTTTGGGAGGCTGAGGCGGGCGGATCACCTGAGGTCAGGAGTTCGAGACCAGCCTGACCAACATGGAGAAACCCTGTCTCTACTAAAAATACAAAATTAGCCGGGAGTGGTGGCACATGCCTGTAATCCCAGCTACTCGGGAGGCTGAGGCAGGAGAATTGCTTGAACCCGGGAGGTGGAGGTTGCAGTGAGCTGAGGTCGCACAACTGCACTGCAGCCTGGGCAACAAGAGCAAAACTCTGTTTTTTTTTGTTTTTTTTTTGTTTTTTTTTTTTTAAAGTAAGACTCTTCTGTAGTTTACTTCATTATTTTCCCATTTTTGCATAATTAGGTTGTTTTCACTTTAACCGGTCATAAATAAAACTGCAATGACCATCTTTATCCTTTGGCCTTTTTGTTTTGTTTTTCATTGAATCACTTTCTTAGAAAATATGATTTTAAAATCTTGAAAATTGCTAACACTTCTACCACATTTACCAAATTATATTCTAAAAGAGTTTTGCCAAGTGTTACTATGGGTACCATTTCTTACATCCTTAATTTCAAGTAGCAGGACCTCCTTACATTGGCACTAGAGCTTTTGTAAAATGTTCCCAGACACAATGAGCAGGCATGGAATTTCAGGTGGCCAGGGGATAGAAGACGGAAACAGGCATCTATGATCATGGTGATGCAGGACCCGTGGATGACACTTTGAAAAACACTCAGTAATTGATTGTCTTTCTCTTTGCATTGTTTCCTATGAGTGCAAATTTAGCCCATCTTTATCAGTATATAGAATTATATCTTAGTGCTCATGAGTTACTCTTATGTTTGGCTTCCTTTAATTTTTCTGTCTTTATTTTTCCTTAACCCCAATTTCTTCTGTTACCTATTTTTAAATCGATCTTTCTCTAATTATTGACATAAGACTATCTTTTTAACCAGATCAGAATAATTTTTTAAAAGAATCCTGCTAGCAAAAATTCTGATGTAGTATATGCTCACTGAATAATTGTTGAATAAATCAATGAGTGAATACACTGTTTAGGGGACTCTTGAATGTTTGTTTCTATTCGTACTCATTTGTCAGATAAAGCTGGGCAATATAAATCCTGCCCTGGTAACTTAGTACTAACTTGAGTTTTTATTGTCATGCCACTACAATTTAAAAAGTGATTTCATGTCCATTGTCTTATCTGATCTTTATAACAATTTTATGAGTTCAAAAAGACTGACACTACTTTCTCCATTTCACCAAAAGGGGAACAAAGGCCAAGAAAGGAAAGAAAGGCTTTGAGGTCCTACTACAGACTGGGCCCTGTGCCAAGGGCTTTACCTGTTAATTTTTAGCAGGTATCGTTAGGCCTATTTTATCAAAAGGAAACAGATTTTCACAGGGACTAAGTAGCTTGCCGAGGAGCAAGGAGGCCACCCAGGCCATTTGGATCCCAAGATCATGCTACACTTTTTACATCGCTTACCCCACAGTCCCTCTAGCCACCGTTTGGCAGAGCTATGACTGCTCCCCTTTTACAGAAGAGGGAAGTGGGGCTCAGAAAGCCTTGGAACTTGCCTATGCTTATGCAGTTCATAAATGGAGCAACCAGAATGGAGGCCACAGTCTTTGTCAAAGAAATCTGTGCTCTGCTCATTACTTCTGTGGAAATACAGAACACGGGCATCTGAAGTTATCTTTGAGGTTATCTGGTGCAACAACAGTAACAAATGAAATAGCTAACATATTGCATACGTATGTGTCAAGCATCATGCTAAGCAGTACAGGTATATATGTGTACACACACATACACATACACGCACACCACACAGTTCTCAAAACAACCCTGTAAGGAAGTACTATTATTAACTCCCTTTCTCATTTTATAGATGATAAAACTGAAGCCCAGAGACGTTAATTGCCCATGGCCACAAAGTAAGGACAGAGCAAATCTTGCTTTAAAATTGACAAACAGGGCCAGGCACGGTGGCTCATGCCTGTAATCCCAGCACTTTGGGAGGTCAAGGTGGGCAGATCACTTGAGGCCAGGAGTTTGAGACCAGCCTGGGTAACATGGTGAAACCCCACCTCTATTAAAAAAAATACAAAATTTGGCCAGGCATGGAGGTGCACACCTATAATCCTAGCTACTGAGGCACGAGAATCACTTGAACCCGAGAGGCAGAGGTTGCAGTGAGCCGAGATCGTGCCACTGTACTCCAGCCTGGGTGACAGAGTGACACTCCATTTCAAAAAACAAAAATGAAAACAAAAAACAATAAAATAGACAAAGAGCATGGTGTTCTAGGAGGTATGGAAAAGTGATAAAACAGTAAAGATGAAATTATGACCCTGAGAGCCAGAGGGCTGCTGCTTTTAGAGACAGCCATCGTGATTCAGAAGGGTAACTTCTGAGATGCTGGTGATGGCCTCTTGATCTGGGTAGTGGTTATTCCTTCAACAACACTAAATACTGTATAAGTTTAAATCGCTTTATCTATGTACATATATCATCTCACAATAAATAAATCTTTAAAAAAACACAAAGGATAACAGTTAGGAGAAAAAAAATAAAGCCCCATGTGCCTACTGCTCAACTCTACTGTTGAAAACACCTCAGTGTATTTCCTTGCAGTCAAGAAAACACACTTCTCGCCCCTCTTCTGTTTCACTCATGGCTTCTGTAAAAGTTCAGTGGAATGAATGAGGGAGAGGAGAGGGAGGATCGCTTTTGTTTGGTTGCCTTTCAGTATTTTTCTCCCTGCATTTGAATGAACCACATTGAATAAACAATGAGTTGATGGAACAATATGTGTCTAATTAAGCTCTTGCTTCTCTGATTCATTTCAGGTTCCTAACATTTACCAAGTTAAAGCAAAGGAAATGTTAGGTTGGCCATGTACTGTTCTCCTCTGGTGAGATCGCCTTTTGTGAGATGGTAAACAAACTGCCAGCTTGTGGATTTTATTAGAAGCAGTAAGGAGTGGCAGGAATACTAAGTAGTGCCAAAGTGATTCCTACTCATGCCTTTCAGCCTTGCTCTCCTCTGTGAGGAAGGCGAGGACCTTGTTTCCACTGTGTTACATAAGCCGAGAAACAGAATTGTGGTGCATGGATGGGCTGCACACGGCTCTTAGCTGTCTTCTTGCCAAGTCTTCCAAGACATCTTGCTGCTCCCGCAAACAATCCCCCAGATGGGCATTTGGTATGCACTCTATATGCTCCTTCGCTGACCCCACATACATCACAAAACATTTTTGTTTTATTTGGATTGCAACATTGCCTAAATATTTGTCCTATTTTTCTAAGATGATGGAAACTGGATCAGGCCGAATATGAAGCAAACCAGGCCTGTCTAATTCATCCAGGCTACTCATTAACATCCTCCCATTCCACTCACTCTGGTCTGGGGCTCATTTGGGGTCCTTCCTATGATGACTAAGACTGAGGCTCAAAACATTAATAGCTGCTAGGACTTACATCTCTTCGAGGTTCTTATACTGAGACTCAGGACCTTCTCACACTTTGAGGTGATGAACAAGCCGGCACAATATGTCTGTCCCTAAGACTACCTGATTTGCTCTTTCGAATTAGGCAATGACTTCAATAGAGCAAGCACATTTGTCCCTAATTAAATTTATTCAGGACCACAGTTAACTGAGGACCCACTGTGTGACAAACCCTGGAATAAGCACTGAAGCTTAGAGGGAAATTAATTTTCACAGTTGACATGGAAGCAAATACGTGTCAATCAAGTGAGTGAAATGCGATATCTGGGGTGTTTATGGGGCATTGAGGAAGAAATTCCTAGTGATACATAATATTGAGGTCATTAATACTGAGATGGGCAAAAGCAGGGAAAGTTTCACAGAGACTGATATTTCTATGAAGGAAGGAAAATTCATTACAGCACTGACAAAGCAATTTGGAAAATGCAAAACTAAACCAACTTTGGACAAAGTAAGGGGCCTACCTGAAATTGTGAAAAGTGACAAAGGACACTCTTAGTTAAAAAAAATAAAGAGCAGTAGGTAATTAAGAGCTTAATTCCATTAGCCCATCAAGGCAATTAAAAACAAAAAACAACAAAGAAACAACAACAAAAACCCTCTAAGTTTCTTTAAGACGGAAATACAGCATAGTAAATATTCAGCTAGGACTTCTTTTTTGTATTCTGAGCATCCAGTATATTTCACTAAATATATATATACACACACACATACATATACACACACATATACACATACATTTTGAGACAGAGTCTTGCTCTTGCTCTGTTGCCCAGGCTGGAGTGCAGCCATGTAATGATAGCTCATGGCAGCCTTGAATTCCTGGGCTCAAGTGGTCCTTTCCCCTCAGCCTCCCAAGTAACTAGGACTATAGGTGTGCACCACCATGCCCGGGTATTTTTTTTTTTTTTATATTTTTTGTAAATACAAGGTCTCTCCATGTTCCCCAGTCTGGTTGCAAACTCCTGGGCTCAAGTGATCCTCCCACCTCAGCCTCTCCAGGCACTGGGATTTACAGGTATGAGCCACTGCACTTGGCTACTAAATACATATTGATGAAGTAAATGAATGAATGATTTATTATATGACCTGCAAATACATGTATATGCATATGTAAAAAGTATGTGGGGGCAGAGGTCATGTGTATAATATGTGGAAATGAACATAGTTGCAGAGTGGGCCTGCTCTACTTGGCCCAGCAGTTGGAAGCATGATACTAATAATGGCTTAGTTTCAGCACTGATTTCTGTGTAACCTGAAGAGTAAACTCAATCCACCCCAGGCATCTGTGGTAGACTTTCTTTGATTATTGCTTGAAAAGGAGATTGGATGAGAAAAAAGAGACACATTGATAGGTGTGATGGTTAATACTCAGTGTCAATTTGATTAGATTGAAGGTTGCCAAATATTGATCCTGGGTGTGT
Source organism: Homo sapiens (assembly GCF_000001405.40). NCBI lineage: Eukaryota > Metazoa > Chordata > Mammalia > Primates > Hominidae > Homo > Homo sapiens. Next base: position 108,205,894 of record NC_000009.12, on the reverse strand, counting down.
CTGTGAGAGTGTTGCCAAAGGAGATTAACATTTGAGTCAGTGGGCTGGGAAAGGCAGACCCACCCTTAATCTGGGTGGGCACAATCTAATCAGCTGCCAGTGAAGCCTGAATAAAAAGTAGGCAGAACATGAAAAGTTTAGACTGGCTTAGCCTCCCAGCCTACATCTTTCTCCCATGCTGGATGCTCCTGGTCTCGAACATTGGACTCCAAGTTCTTCAGTTTTGGGATTTGGACTGGCTTCCTTGCTCCTCAGCTTATAGATGGCCTATTGTGGGACCTTTATGTATACATCTATCCTATTAGTTCTGTCCCTCTAGAGAACCCTGACTAATACAATAGGTTTCTGTTCACTTTCTTCCACATGGTTTGCTGCATTAAGAATAGGTCAAGGCCCATGAAAGAGAAACCCTCAAGATAGCAAATTAAAGTCAGGAGCTCTATTTCTGAGCCATCCTTCAATTACTCATTCCTCTGGCTTCTTTTGGCCACTCAACCAGACCTTCACTGTGTTTCTCCAGAGTTCTGCCTAAATATGTTCTAAATGTTTCTTTGGTGACCACATTGAAGGTAACTCCAGAAGTTTTGCCCATCCTGCTATATTTGTGTAGGCTGTGTCCTCTCTTTCCTTGCAGTGGCATTTAATCATGGATCTTTTTCAAATCCATCCCCTCAAGCATTTATCCTTTGAGTTAAAAGCAGTCCAATTACATTCTTTAAGTTATTTTAACATGTACAATTAAATTATTATTTACTATAGTCACCCTCTTGTGCTACCAGATAGTGGGTCTTACTCATTTTTTCTATTTGTCATACCCATTAACCATCCCTACCTCCCTCCCAGCCTCCTACTACCCTTCACAACCTCTGGCAACCATCAATCTACTCTCTATGACAATGAGTTAAATTGATTTGATTTTTAGATCCCACAAATAAGTAAGAACATGCAGTGTTAGTCTTTCTGGTGCCTGACTTATTTCACTTAATATCATGATCTCCAGTTCCATCTATATTTTTGCAAATGACTAGATCTCATTCTTTTTTATGGTTGAATAGTACTTCATTATGTATATGTACCACATTTTCCTTATCCATTCATCTGTTGATGGACAGTTAGGTTGCTTCCAAATCTTAGCTATTGTAAACAGTGCTGCAATAAACATAGGAATGCAGGTATGTCTTCAAAATACTGATTCACTTTCTTTTGGGTATATACCCAGCAATGGGATTGCTGGATCATATAGTAGCTCAATTTTTGGTTTTTTGAGGAACCTTCAAACTGTTATCCATAGTGGTTGTACTAATTTACATTCTCACCAACAGTATACAAGGGTTTCTTTTTCTCCATAACCTCACCAGCATTTGTTATTGTCTGTCTTTTGTATATAAGCCATTTTAACTGGGGTGAGATGATATCTCAGTGTAGTTTTGATTTTCATTTCTCTGATTATCAATGTTGAGCACATTTTCATATGTCTGTTTGCCATTTGTATTTCTTCTTTTGAGAAACGTCTATTCAAATCTTCTGCCCATTTTTTTTTATCAGGTTATTAGATTTTTTTCCCTGTAGAGTTGTTTAGGCTCCTTATATATTCTGGTGATTAACCCCTTGTCAGATGGGTAGTTTGCAAATATTCCCTCCCATTCTTTGGATTGTCTCTTTAATTTGCTGATTTTATCCTTTGCTATGCAGAAGCTTTTTAACTTGATGTTATTTCATTTGTGCATTTTTGCTTTGGTTGCCTGGGGTATTTCTCAAGAAATTTTTGCCCACATCAATGTCCTAGAGATTTTCTATGCTGTTTTGTTGTAGAGACTTCATAGTTGGAGGTCTTAGATTTAAGCCTTTAACCCATTTTTATTTGATTTTTTTTATATGGTGAGAGATAAGGGTCTAGTTTCATTCTTCTTCATATGGATATTCAGTTTTCCCAGCACTATTTATTGAGGAGACTGTCTTTTCCTCAGTGTATGTTCTTGGCACCTTTGTCAAAAATGAGTTCACTGTAGGTGATAGATTTGCTTCTGGGTTCTGTATTCTGTTCCATCAGTCTATGTGTCTGTTTTTATGCAGATTCCATGCTGTTTTGATTACTATAGCTCTGTAGTATAATTTGAGGCCAGGTAATGTGATTCATCCACTTTTGTTCTTTTTGCTTAGGATAGCTTTGTCTATTTTAGGTCTTTTGTGATTTCATATAAATTTTAGGATTTTTTTTCTATTTATATGAAGAATGTCATTGGCATTTTGATAGAGACTGCATTAAATCTGTAGCTTGCTTTGGGTAGCACAGATATTTAAACAATATTGATTCTTCCAATCTATGAAACATGGAATATTTTTCCATTTTATGGTGTCCTCTTCAATTACTTTAGTCAGTGACTTATAGTTTTCATTTTAGAGATCTTTCACTTTTTGAAGTTAATGCCTAGGTATTTAATTTTATGTGTGGTTATTGTAAATGGGATTACTTTTTATTTCTTTTTTACATTGTTCACTATTGTCATATAGAAATGCTATTGATTTTTACATGTTGATTTTGTATCCTGCAACTTTACTAAATTTGTCAGTTCTAATAGTTTTCTTGTGGAATGTTTGGATTTTTCCAAATATAATATCATATCAACAGCAAACAAAGATACTTTGACATATTTCTTTCCAATTTGGATGTTCTTTATATCTTTCTCTTGCCTAATTGCTCTAGCTAGGACTTGCAGTACTATATTGAATAACAGTGATGACAATGGGCATCCTTGACATGTTCCAGATCTTAGAGGAAAGGCTTTCAGTTTTTCTCATTCAATATGATACTGGCTGTGTGTCTGTCATATATGGCTCTTATTATGTTGAGTTATGTTCCTTCTATCCACAGTTTTTTGAGGGTTTTTATCATAAAGCAATGTTGAATTTTATCAAATACTTTTTCAGTGTCAGTTGAAATGATCATAAGGTTTTTATCCTTCATTCTGTTTATATGAGTACCACATTGATTGATTTGTGTATGTTGAACCATCCTTGCATCTCAGGGATGGATCCCACTTGGTCATGATGAATGATCTTTCTAATATGTTGTTGAATTTGGTTTGCTCGTATTTTGTTGAGGATTTTTGCATCAATATTTTCAGGAATATTGTCCTATATTTTTTATGTACATTCGTCTGCTTTTGGTATCGGGGTAATATTAGCCTCATAGAATGAGTTTGGAAGTATTCCCTTCTCTTCTATTTTTCAGAATAATTTGAATAGGATTTGTATTAGTTCTTCTTCAAATGTCTGGTAGAATTCAGCAGTGAAGTGAACAGGTCCTGGGCTTTTCTTTATTGGGACACTTTTTATTACAGCCTCAATGTTATTTGTCTGTTCAGGTTTTGGATTTCTTCCTGGTTCAATCTTGATAGATTGTATGTGTCTAGGAATTTGACCATTTCTTCTAGATTTTCCAATTTATTGGCATATAGTTGCTCATAGTTGCCACTAATGGTCTTTTGAATTTCTGCAGTATCAGTTGTAATGTCCCCTTTTTCATTTCTGATTTTATTTATTTGGATATTTTCTTTTTTTCTTAGTCTTGCTAAAGGTTTATCAATTTTGTTTAACTTTAAAAAATAACTTTTTTGGTTTTTTATTTCAATTTCATTTATTTCTGCTCTGAGTTTTATATTTCTTTTCTTCTACTAGTTTTGGGTTTGGTTTGCTGTTGCTTTTCTAGTTCCTTAAGATGCATCATTAGATTGTTTATTTGAAGTTTTTCCTCTTTTCTGATATAGGTACTTAGAGCTATACACTTCCCTCTTCGTACTGGTTTTGCTGTATCCCATTGGTTTTGATATGTTGTGTTTCTATTATCATTTTTTTCAAGCAAAGTTTCAATTTTCTTCTTAATTTATTGACCCACTGGTCATTCAGGAGCATATTGTTTAATTTCCATGTATTTGTATAGTTTCAAAAGTTCCTCTTGTTATTAATTTGCAGCTTTATTCCATTGTGGTTAGAGGAGACACTTGACCTTATTTCAATTTTTTGAATGTTTTAAGGCTTGTTTTATGACCTAACATATGTTCTGTCCTTGAGAATGATCCATGTGCTGAGAAAAAGATTGTGCATTCTGCAGCCGTTGGATGAAATGTTCTGTAAATATCTATTGGATCCATTTGGTCTTTAAAGCAGATTAAGTCTGACGTTTCTTTGTTGATTTTTTGTATGGAAGATCTCTCCAATGCTGAAAATGGGGTGTTGAAGTCTCCAGCTATTATTGTATTGGAGCCTAGCTCTCTCTTTAGCTCTAATAATATTTCCTTTGTATGTCTCGGTGCTCCAGTGTTGAGTGCATATATATTCAAAATTGTTATATCCTCTTGCTGAATTGACTCCTTTATCATTATATAGTGACTGTCTTTGTCTGTTCTCATAGGTGTTGTCTTGAAATCTATTTTATCTGATACAAATGTAGCTACTCCTGCTCTTTTCTGGTTTCCATTGGCATGGAATATCTTTTCCCATTCCTTTATTTTCAGTCTATGTGTGTCTTTATAGGGAAAGTGTGTTTCTTGTAGGCAACAAATTAATAGGTCTTGTTTTTTCATCCATTCAGTCTGTCTTTTGATGGGCGAGTTTAGTTCATTTACATTCAATATATTATTGATAAGTAAGGACTTACTCCTACCATTTTGTTATTTGTTTTCTAATTATTTAGTAATCTTCTCTTCCTTCCTTCTTTCCTTCCTGTCTTCCTCTAGTGAAGGTGATTTTCTCTGGTGGTATGATTTAGTTTTTTTGCTTTATATTTTTTGTGTATCCATTCTGTTTACTGCTTTGAGGTTACCATGAGGCTTGCAAATACTATCCTATAACCTATTCTTTTAACCTGATAATGACACTATTTGCATAAACAAACAAGCAAAAATAAAACTAATAAAAACTCTATACCTTAACTTTGTCCCCCTGCTTTTTAGCTTTTTGTTATGTATAATTATATCTTATTATATTATGTCTTAGATAATTGCTGTAGTTATTATTTTTGATTGGTTCATTGTTTAGTCTACTTAGAATAAGAGTAGTTTACACACCATGGTTACAGTGTTATAATATTCTGTGTTTTTCTGTGTACCTACCATTACCAGTGAGTTTTGTACCTCCAGGTGATTATTTATTGCTCATTAATGTCCTTTTATTTCTGACCTGTCCTACAAGAAATAACTTTAACATTTGTAGGACAAGTCTAGTATTAATGAAATCCCTCAGCTTTTGTTTATCTGGGAAAGTATTTCGCCTTCATGTTTGCAGGGTATTTTTACTGGACATACTATTCTAGGATGAATTTTTTTTCCTTCAGCTCTTTAAATATGTCATGTCACTCTCTCCTGGCCTGTAAGGTTTCCCCTGAAAAGTCTGCTGCCAGACGTATTGGACCTCCATTGTATGTTATTTGTTTCTTTTCTCTTGCTGTTTTTAGAATCTTTTCTTTATCCTTGACCTTTGAGAATTTGATTATTAAATTCCTTAAGGTAGTCTTTTTTGGGGTTAAATCTGCTTGGTGTTCTATAACCTTCTTGTACTTTGATATTTATATCTTTCTGTAGGTTTGGGAAGTTCTCTGTTATTATCCCTTTGAATAAACTTTCTACCCTTATCTCTTTCTCTACCTCCTCTTTAAGGCCAATAGCTCTTAGATTGGCCATTTTCAAGATCATGTAGGTGTGCTTCATTGTTTTTTATTCTTTTTTTCTTTTGTCTCCTCTGACTGTGTATTTTCAATTAGCCTGTCTTTAGGCTCACTAATTCTTTATTCTGCTTGATTAATTCTGCTATTAAAGGACTCTGGTGCATTCTTCAGTATGCCAATTTTATTTTTCAGCTCCAGAATTTCTGCTTGATTCATTATAATTATTTCAATGTCTTTGTTACATTTACCTGATAGAATTCTGAATTTCTTCTCGGTGTTATCTTGAATTTCTCTGAGTTTCCTCAACACAGCTATTTTGAATTCTCTGTCTGAAAGGTCACATATCTCTGTTTCTCTCAGATTGGTCCTTAGTGTCTTATTTAGTTCATTTGGTGATGCCATGTTTTCCTGTATGTTGTTGATGCTAGTAGATGTTCTTCAGTATTTGGGCATTGAAGGCTTAGGTATTTATTGGTGTCCTCACTGCCTGGACTTATTTGTAGTAGTCCTTATTGGGAAGGCTTTCCAGATATTTGAAAGGACTTGGGTGTTGTGATCTAAGCTCTATCTGCTTTAGAGAGCACCCCAAGTGCAGTAACACTGTGATTCTTGCAGATTTGTAGAGGTACCACCTTGATGGTCTTGGACAAGATCTGGGAGATTTCTCTGGATTACCAGGCACAGATTGTTGTTCTCTTCCCTTACTCTCTCTGGAACAAACAGTCGTCTCTCTGTTCTAAGCCACTTAAAGCTGGGGGTAGAATGACACAAGCACCCTTGTGGCCACCACCACTATGATTGTGCTGGGTCAGAACTGAAGCCAGCACAATGCTGGGTCTTGCACAGGGCCTGCTGTAACCACTCCCTTCATACTATGTATGTTTGCTTAAGGCCCTGGGGCTCTACAGTCAGTAGGTGGCAAAGCCAGCTAGGACTGTGTCTTTTCCTTCAGGGTGGCAAGGACCCCCAGGACCTAGGTGTTGTCCAGGAGCCAGGGAGTAGAGTCAAAAATCTTAGAAGTCTACCTGGTGTTCTATTGTACTATGGCTGAGCTAGCACACAAAAAAACATAAGATGCAGTCCTTCCCACTCTTCCCTCTCCTTTCCTAAGGCAGAAGAGCCTCTCCCTCTAGCCACTGCCACCCGAGGCTGTGAGGAGTACTTCTAGACTACCAGCCAAGCTGTCTTAAGGCCCAAGGGTTCTAAGTCAGCTTGTTGTGAATGCTGCCTGGGACTCAGCATTCAGGGCAGTGGGCTCCACTCTGGCACAACGAAAGTCCAGAAATGCCATCTGAAAGTCAAGCCCTGGAATTGGGAACCCCAAGAGCCCAGTTAGTATTCTACCTCTCCTGTGGCTATGATGGTACCTAAGGTACAAGACAAAGTCTCCTTTACTTTTCCTGTTTTTCTCAAACAAAGGGAATTTTGCCATGTAGCCACCACAGCTAATTATGTGCTGAGTCTCACCTGAAGCCAGCACATCTCAGAGGCTCAACTAAAGTCCTTGATGTAGTACCTGGGTATCACTGCTGCTGGTTATTCAGGGTCCAAGGGCTCTTCAATTAGCAGGTGATGAATGCTGGCAGGACTGGGTTCTTTTCTTCAGGGCAGCCGGGTTCCCTTCTGGCCCAGGGTGTGTTTAGAAATGTCCCCTGGGAGCTAGGGCCTCACAACTCTACTTGGTGCCCTATCCTGCTGTGGCAGCTCAAATACCTCCCTATTCTTTCCTCTCCTCTCCTTAAGCAAAAGGAAGGGGTCTCTTTTGGAGCTGTGAACTGTGAGGCCTGGGGTTAGGGGAGGGGTGATGCCAGCACTCCCTTGGCTGCTCAAGCTGGTGTCTCAGTATGTTATGTGTCCACCCCAGTCCACTGTCTCTGGGCCTAGTTCAGCACTAGGACTCACCTAAGAGTTGCAGTTCTTATGGCCTAGACTGCCTTTCAAGTTTACTTGGAGACACAGAGCACTGTAGCCCTCAGTGGCGAGGTATGTGGGCACTCAAGTTTGGACCACTAGGATCAGCAATTCCCATCTGGCTAGGGCTGATTTAAATGTTCCCTCTATGGGTGGATGTCAGCTGAGTTGGGTTCTGTTTTCCTTTCTGCTTTAACAGTATAGCACTGAGTTCAGTTCCTCATAATTGCTGTGTTCTCCCTCCCTCAATGCCCAGAGACAAGCTCTCAGCACCATACTGTTGCTGCTGGTGGGTGGCATTGGTGATTCAGAACTGTTTTTTCTGTTTTTTTTTTTTTTTTTGCCACTTTCAGCTGCATGAAATTAAAACCAGGTATTATGAGTCCTCACCTGATTTTTGGTTCTTAAGAAGATGTTGTTTCTTTGTAGATAGGTGTTAACTTGGTGTCCTTGCCAGGGTTAGAGGAGGGGGATGATCAGTGGAGCCTTCTATTCCACCATCTTGCTACACCTCCCTGCATTATCATAGATCTTTGAGACTTGCCTTTCTTGACTGCACACCAGCTGTCACGTGCTCCCCTGATTAGGATCAGCCCAGTCTCTCCCACCAGGATGGGTCTCTCACAGATACATTCATTCATCCTACCAGACACCCCAAATCTCTCTGTATCCATCCTCAGGGACACTGGTTGAACTTGTTATCATCATGCATGTGGAACCCTGAGCCTCCAATATTCACATCAGAGCAGTGTGGGACAGAATGAGTCACTGCTAAGCATACATCTTTTGATAGCAGGAGATGAAGATGCACTAGGATTTTCCTAGATGTCCCCTGTAGAACATCATTGTTGCTATCAGGTGGTTGTGTTGGATCTGGGAGGGGTGGGCACCTGGACATGGAGAAGCTGTCCAGAAGAAAGTAGCAACTAGGCTGAAAAGAATCAATTAGAAGCGTGGTCATGCGATGTGCCAGGTGAGGCTGGAAGATACAGGGAAAAAAGGGGAAACACCTGTCTCCTCATTGGTTTGGGGAAAAGGATGGTTGACATCATCTGTTTCTTTTTATCCAAACTCATGCTTTCCTCTCCAGCTGCACAATAGATTCTGGCACTGTTGTAAATGGAAAAGGCTTTAGCTGGCTATGAGACCATTTTCTTATACTGACTAATGGTGTGATAATGGGCAAGTTACACCCCATCTCCAGACCTTGATCGCAATCTATAAAATGGCTGGGATTTGATACGTAAGAGTCCTTCCAGTTATCACAATCTGTTAAATTTCAATGTGTTCTTATAAATGTAGTTTGGAAGAAAAAATTTAAAAAGAAGTTGAAAGAAAAGAGAGTTCAGAAGCAAACCAAACCCTCAGTACTTTCACTTAGGGGAAAAAAAAATACAGATACAAATTCCAACAATGTCTTTATTATCCAGTGACTTCCTGTAATACATTTTTTCAATAAAATGCAAATGACTTAGCAACAAATGCTCTGCATGAAGGGCTTGCCCTGTTCAGTGTTCCAGCTTTTTCATAGTATATCCTTTCAAAGATTTTATATTTTTAAGTTATTACTTCCTTATCCATCTCTCAAAAGAAACTAAAATTTGGAAACACAAATGTCACAGTTCATGTAAATGAAAAAAGGGACACTTCATCCTTTTTTGATGTTTAGGAGGGGCCTTTTTATGACTAATCCCAGTTACCTTAAGGCGCAATGCATCGACTCTTGTATCCTCCACTCATTCCTCTATGCAGACAGCTGCCAATTCTTATCACTCTGGCTCTTACCTATTTCCAGAACTACATTGCCACCTGGCTATTGAACGTTGCCTCTTAGATATCACACAAACTCAGCACAGGGAACATTCAACTCCTAAACCCTGCCCCACTCCCTACTCTTCGGTCTTCATTATCAGTTAATAATTACACTTTATATCTTAAAACAATTTTACATTTTAGAAAAAATGTTCACATGCGTTTTTCATTTGATTTTCATTTTAAATTATCCTCACTTTTCAAATGAAGCAATTGAGGCTCAGAGCAATTAAATGTCACATAACTAAGAAGCTAAGTACAGATTGCCTCCCACTCATCACATCTGCTTTACCTGCTCTCATTTGTCTGTTAAAAATCCTTTGCTGGCTGGGTGTGGTGGCTCACACCTGTAATCCCAGCACTTTGGGAGGCTCATGTGGGAGGACAGCTTGAGCCCAGGAGTTTGAGACTAGCTTGGGCAACACAGGAAAACCTCATCTCTACAAAAAAAAAATTTTAAGAAAGTAAACGGGAGTGGTGACGAACACCCATAGTCCCAGCTACTCAGGAGGCTGAGGCAGGAGGATGACATGAGCCCAAAAGGTTAAGGCTGCAGTGAGCCGTGATCATGCCACTGCACTCCAGCCTGGGCAACAGAGCAAGACCCTGCCTCAAAAAGAAAAAGAAAATCAATTTGCTAGTTTCCCATCACCTACAGAATAAAGTTTAGCCTCCTTAGCCTGATGTTCAAGACCCCATCAGACTCAAAACATCTTTCCAGCATGAATTTCCTATAAATTTAAAGATTCTGCCTTCTGATGACTTCAGACAAATTACCACTCTTTGTTACACTGGCTGCTTTGCCCTTGCACATTCTGTTCCTGTACAGTTCTGCCTATTGGGATCCTATTCATCCTCTAAGACAGTTCAAATCCTGGGCCATCATTCTTTATGTGAAACCCTTGGGGCCAGACATGTTTTGGAGTCCAGAATCTTTTTGGATTTAAGAAAGGTAACAGAATTCATATGCAGTATATTACAAAATAGATTTAATGTACTCCAGGGCAACCTTGCAATAATGGGTACTAATGTTTTGCAGCAAAACGTATGAGTACTCACACTAAGTGGAATAAGTAAAGACACAGTAGGCCAAGTGAGGCTTTACCACCTAATGGGAGAAGAAAGACTTTTGGTTTTTAGAGCTGTTGAATTTGGAATCACTTATAAATGACTAGAGACCTGCTCTGCTTGTTTCTGGAAGCCTCCCCGAGTTGGCCTCTTCTCTTCTCAGTGCTTTCTCCTTCTTTGCTCTTGAGAATTTTATTTTACCCATTCATTGATTCAAATACTTAATCTGTAAATATTTATTGTATATTATGTTAGACATGGATGATACTGTGATAAATCAGATAAATCAAATTGCCTCCTGTAGTTTCCGGTCTGGTGGTTAAAACTGAGCCACAAAAAGGCAAAAAAAAAAAAAATAATAATAAAATAAGAGGTAGGTTGAGTCCTGGAATGGGGATGGAGGTGAGTACTAGGAGTTTTAAAGAAAAGAGGAGGAGTAGTGAGGAAACAGCAAAGATTTTCTAGAAGTGAAATCATCTGGGCTCAGCCTAGAACAAGGAACAAGGGTTATCCAGGTTAAGACAGGGAGAATGGAATTGAAAGTAGAGAGAACAGCATGTTTACAACAAAAGGAAGACCAACAGAGGATGATTGTCATCTGCTAGTGCTGGGTTTTCAGAAGACTGAGGGACATGTTTAAAGAGGGGGTGAGAAATGAAAACTATGGAGCTCAGTTGAAACCAGAACTTAAGATACCTTATATAGGTGCTAATGAGTTTATATTTTATCCTTAAGGGCCATGAGCATAGTATGGAGTACCCACTGTATTGCAGAGAATGAGCTGGAGGAGGCAGGACTGGAGGCAGGGAGGCTGTCAGAGGACCTCATAACAATCAAGGGAGGAGAAGGAACATTGAGGAGATGAAGGTTCCAAGGTTCTTTCACACCCATTCCAGCACTAGTCCCAGATTGCCTTCTTTTCAATTTAATTTTAAAAGTGAATGATCTTTCAGGCAGGGATTATGTCTTCAATTATTCATTCAAGAAACTTTATTGAACATCTGTGATAGACCAGGGACCTTTCTAAGCTGTGGAGGTACTGCTATGAACAAGCCAAGCCAGATCCTTCTTCTTATGGAAATATTTATTTAAAGGGGTGGAGGGAGGGAGTCAAACAATAAAAAGTTAACAAAGAAGTGAGCTAACTGCAAACAGTGAAAAGTGGTTGTTCTGAAGGAAATGAAATGGGGTTATGTGAAGAAGACAGTGAGTGGAGGAAAGGAAACTCTCAGAGGCCTGAATGATGGGGAGGCAGCCATGCAAAGATCTGTGGAAGGAGTATTCTAGAGAGGAGGAATAGTGATTGCAGAATTGCTGGAGTAAGAACTGGCTTGGAGGATAAAGGCAGAAAGAAATGCCCAGTACAATTGGAGAACAGAGAGCTTCAGGGGTTAATGGGGTGTTGAAGTTACCTTATAAAACAAATTATATCTCGGGAAGTCACTGGGAGGTATTAAGCAAGTGAGTGTCATAATATGGTTTAATTTTTACAAAGTTGACTTGGCTGTTATACAGAAAATGGATTGAAAGATGACAAAAATTGAATTACGAAATGTTGAAATCTTCAAAGATCTATCTAAGTGGTAATTGATCAGAACTGGAGCAGTAAAATGGAGAGAAGGAAGAGATCATTGCTCTGTTTTGGATTTGCTTATGGAGTGCGTGTGTGTGTTTGTGTTTGTGTTTGTGTTTGTGTGTGTGTGTAAAATAAAGACTAATGCCAGAAATCAAAGGAATTGTGGTCACCTCAAGGTTTGGCATGTAAGTAGCTCTAAATAAGTGTTTGATGCATTGAAAGCATGTGTTTCTTTTTATTTAAAAATGATCATCCTTTGAATAATGACTTAATAACTACACAGCTTATGCATCATACAAGTTTAATGAAAGTGTTCTGAAAGGTTTTTCAACAAAATTGCATTTAGAAGTAAATATTTACTTGAGTACAACTCATTCGTGAAATTAAGTCATCTTTATGAGACATACTTGATTATTTTTATAACGAGTGAGCAGCATAATATCTATGGAATTATACCATGTGAAGCCTTTCTAATTATCTCACTTAGAAAACATAAACACAGGCTTTTAAAAAATGCAGTTATAGGCAAAACAAATTTCTTAGCACCTCCACAATATCTAGCAAGTATAAGTGCGGTGCGTAACTGGTATAATCAGAAATCTTTGAAAAGCAGGAAGACGCGACTTTTGCGTGTCCCTTCCCAGTTACAAAACAAATTCTTCCGTTCTGTAATAAAGTTCATTTGTGTATCTAGTCTGTGATGTCTGTGCATAGCACATTCCAGACCTACTAGAGACATAAAAAGAAATAAGAAAGGGTCTGCTAGCCTTGAGGATCTCCTAGGCTATTAGAGGAAGAGAGACATATTAGTAGACCCTGATAATTGAGTGTGATAAGTGCTAAAGATAGATGCAAACCCAGGGTGCTGCTATGGGAGCCTCACGGGGGCAGCCAGCTCCTGGAGGGGTGGGTGAGGTGTACCAGCTAGGGTCCCAGGGAAGGCTTCCTTGAAGATGGGAGGCGTGACTGAAAAATGAGCTGGAGTTACACATGTGAAGAGAGGGGAAAAAAAGAGAGAGAAACCTGGACATGGGCTGGGGGTGAGAAAGAGCCTAGTGAAGAAATGGTGAGTCCCTCTGTGTGGTGGGAGCATAAGGTGTGACGGAGGTGAGAATCATAGCAACAAGTGACGTGTGAGCCCAAAAGGTAGCTAGAAGCAGGGTCACAGAAGGTCTTAGCAGCCAAGCTAAGAACTTCATGCTGAGGACCACAGAGTGCCTCTGAAGGGAATAAGCAGACAAGAGGTATGGGCAGGTTTGTGTTTTACAAAGATTCATCTGTGATCCATGTGGAGGAGGATGCATTGAAAGGCAGAGTCTGGGGAAAGGAAGAAAGGAGAGGAGGCTGCTAGGCTCCAAAACAGGCAAACTGAGGCTCTGAGGGTGGGGAGAGAATCAGGAAGTAGAACGGACCAGTGCAATGTAAGAGGCGGATGAAGAAGGAGGGGATGAACTCACTTTAATTTAGGCTGAACCCAGAAGAATTTACTAACCAACAAGCAAGCAAGTGAGCCACCAAAGTAAATGCTGTCAACCTTAAATAACTACAAAGGCCAAAAAAAAAAAAAAAAAAAAATCATGTTTCCAGACTAAGACTTTTTTAGCCATATTTGTGTGGCCTCCTTAACATTTTGCCGTATCAAGGCATTGAGTAAGACTCATAAGACCTGAGTCTGCAGTCTGGGGGCAGAGTGGTGTGGTGAAGGGGCTGGGTACTAAAAGCACCTGGGGAAAAGGCTCCTCCTAGCTTCCAGTGATTTAAACCAGCCACTTTCCCCTTGTATAACTTTCTTTCGCTCATCTATAAAATGGGGAGGTAAAAAAATTATCTCAAGACCCTTTGCTTTATGCCATGGTATTTAGTAATTCTAGATGTGTCTTTTTTTATTTTTATTTTTATTTTTTTTTTTAGATGGAATCTCACTCTGTCACCCAGGCTGGAGTACAGTGGCAAGATCTCAGCTCACTGCAATCTCCGCCTCCTGGGTTCAAGTAATTCTCCTGCCTTAGCCTCCCGAGTAGCTGAGATTACAGGCGTGTGCCACCACACCCGGCTAATTTTTGTATTTTGAGTAGCAACAGGGTTTCACCATGTTGGCCAGGCCGGTCTTGAACTCCTGACCTCAAGTGATCCGCCCACCTCAGCCTCCCAAAGTGCTAGGATTACAGGCATGAGCCACTGTGCCTTGCCCAATATGCTTATGTTAACTCATTTTATATTTTTAACTTATTTTAATCCTCACAACATCCTTATGAGATATATAGGTATTATTACCCCCATTTTATAAAGGAGAAAATTAAAGCACAGAGAGATCCAGTAACTTGCTCCTGGGCACACAGCAAGTAAGAAGAAGATGTAAGATTCAAATCAGGTAATATGGCTCCAGAGTCTTTGCCTTTACCACTGCACTCTCTAGCTGCCTCTCTTGCCCTGGATTAATTTTCCATTCTACTCTAGATGGGTGTTTAAGTTGGTTACAAGCACTGCTTTGATAAACATACTTACTTCCACATAGGCCTTTGTGCTCATGGGCAAGGGTTTCCCACAGACTATGAATGGCCATGCTGAGTCACAGGGTACCTATTCACTCTCCTACTCACTGCACGCTGGATTTTGGCCCCTCACTTCCCCAAAACTGCTACTTTAAAAGTCGTTGAAACTCTCCTTGCTGCAACATCCAGTGGAATGTGTCGGATAGAGCCTGCCATCCAGCTTGCCATCCCAGCAGCCTTAGACACCTCCTTCCTGAAACACTCCTGTCCTTTGCTTCTGGTTGTACCACATTCCCACAGATACGTCCCCTCTCCCTCTTCTTAGTTCCACCAGTCAGCATCCCTAGGTCTTCCTACACCTTAAACACTGGAGATCCTAGGGATGCAGTTCCAAGATCTCTTCTTATTCTTCTTACAGTCACCAGTAATCTCACTCACGTATGTGAATCTTTAAAGATTATTTACCTACTGACAACTCTGAAGCTCACATCTCCAGCCCAGACCTCTTTGGAGCTCTAGGATTGGACATCAAACTGCCCCTTTGACAGCTCCACGTGAATGTCTCACAGGCATCTTAAACTTAGATTCAAAACCATGCCAGACATGCTCCTTCTCCAATTCTCTCCAACTCAATAAATGGTACTGCCATCCATCCAGATGATTATCTCAGAAATACCATAATTTTGAAAATCATGTCTCCAGGATTCTCACACAAACCCATCACCCATCCAATCTACCTCCCAAATACATCATGGCTCTTTTCAGTTTCCTTCACCTCCATCTGCTGAAGCCCCAGTCCTACCCTCCACATCTCTCACCTGGGTTATTGCAAGCTTGCTCACTTGCCTGCCCACTTTTGATCTTTACACAGCATCCTAAGTGACACTTAAAGATGCAAATCAGGTATCACTCCACCTCTTGCTTTAAAATGCTCAATACACTCCCATTAGAATAAATTGACACAACTTTTTCTGTTCTGAAAGGTTTAGCCCAGTGGGTCTTAACTGTGGTTGTACATTGGAATCATCTAGAGGTGACCAGGCATGGTGGCTCACGCCTGTAATCCCAGCATTTTGGGAGGCCGAGGCAGGTGGATTGCTTGAGGTCAGGAGTTCAAGACCAACCTGGGCAACATGGTGAAACCCCATCTCTACTAAAAATAGAAAAATAAGCTGGGCATGGTGGCAGGTGCCTGTAGTCCCAGCTACTTGAGAGGCTGAGGCACGAGAATCGCTTGAACCTTGGAGATGGAGGTTGCAGTGAGCTGAGATCGCACCACTGCACTCCAGCCTGGGCAACAAAGCAAGACTGTCTCAAAAAAAAAAAAATCATCTAGAGGGGACAGAATTTTTTTAAATTCTTTTGTCCAGAACCCACTTTAGACCAACTACTCTGATCTCTACCTGTGGGTCCTGGACGCTGATACTTTTTCAAACCCTGCCCCCTCCCTGCTGCCAGGTGATTTTTAGGTGAAGCTGGTGTTGAGGGCCACCGAGCTGCTTTCTGTGTGATACTCCACCTAATCTCACAATACTCTCCCCCTTGAAAAAATACATCCTGGCCACACTAGAGCCCTTGCAGTTTTGTATCTTAGGGCTTTCAGCTATGCTTTTTCCTCTGCCCACTCCAGAGTCATATGAAATTCAAATAGGATGCTATAGTACCATAAGACATTATTATATACATATAGTAAAATGTCCAACAGTTTCTGCTAATTATCAGTTCAACCCATCTGTAAGCAGGGTCTGTTCTTTTTATATATCAGGAAAATGATTCAGGAAGTTCAAATGATTTGCTTTAATTCCCAAAGGTGAACTTGCAAGCAGAGAGTAACCAGATCCTGCAACAGCCTATCTCTTTCTCCTCTTTCCTCCCATTTTCCCCCTTCCTCCTACCCCCTTCTCCTATCTTGGCTCCCCACTGTCTAGGCCTCCACCTCTGTGGCTCCACATAATTACTTTTTAACACCCATAATACTGGCTTGACCTCATCCTCAAAACTATTATGCACTAAGGGACCATCTCATACAAGCTCCTGCTATAGGAAATTATTTAATAGTGCCCAGTGTGCTTCCGAGAGCCAGAGCAACTCTCCCAAATGACAATGGAAACCCGAAGCCAGGGGAATCTGGCCCCTTCACAGCTTCAAATCATTCAATTATCCTCTTCTCCAATTGGAATGGCAAGGGAATGATAAAGCAGCAGAGGACTGGATTCACAAATGGGATTTGTTTTAGGATCCTGATGTGTTTTTGATGAGGAGAGACAGAAAATACAAAAACAACATTCATTCAGTAGACACTGAGCATTTACTGCAATAAGTGCCAGCATTTATAGAAGCACTTTATAAAGTCATATCCTCATTTTCTTGTCTGATTTGAACAATAGCCCAGTGAATCCCATTTTATAAAGGAAAAAATTGAACTCAGAAATGCTCTGTAAATGTGTCCAGGTCACATAGCTGGGACATGGGCTAATGTGACTTGAAATTCTGAAGCCAAATCTTAGGCATTTTTTGCATTATCCCAAGCTACCAGACACGAAGAAGGCTAGGGTGGGCATAAAAACATGTAGGATGTCCCCCTGCTACCACTACCCTATCCTCCTGGTGACCACCACTACTTGGAGAAGCTCCACTTCCACAGGAGGTTTCCGCCCAGGCAGAGTCCCTCTCTACCTACTCTGTGCTGCCCTCACTGGGCCCCTGTAGCTGCTTTGTCAGTCACTCCTACTCCCCTTCTCCTCTCCCTTCCTGGAATGGTTCTTGTGTGAATATGGCCCTTTTGACTGGCTGGAGTCTGCAGATTCCTGTTGTACATAACAGGAGTCTCTCTCTTGTCTTCCTCTTGCATTGGCTTTATAGACCATTTCTGTGAATTTCACCTAATCAGCCATAAGTCAACCAAAGAGTGGATGCTACTCCCCCACAATCCAGGCCTGCTTAGCTTAACCCCCTTCCTAGAGCCCTGAATGCCTGAGATCCAGCCCAACCAGAATTGTCAAATGAAGAAAATAGTCATATATACAATAAATATTTTGTTGGTATAAGTATGTCCCAAATATTTTTGGGGATATATATATATGTATATGAGACATTACAAGTATATTTGGGACACACTTGTAAATGGTGATAGTTACTGCTTATAATATTAGCTTATGGGTGTGTATATATATATATGATATACATGTATATATGTGTGTATACATATACATACACACACAGACATACATACATAAGTACAAAAAAAATCCTTTATTTGTTGTTTACTTGAAATCCAAACTGAGCTGGGCATCTGTTTTGGTTTTTGCTGAATCTAACAACCCTAATCCCAACTCTTTCCTTCCTTGGGGGCCCAGGTAGCAGGAAGGGCCACTGGGGAGGGTAGTGTGGCCCTGGCAGCAGGAGGCTGGGCCCTGGTCCTAGCTCTTCTACATATTCACTGTGAGGCCTTTGACTCAGTTTCCCCATCTGCAGAGTGAGGGGTTGAATCAGGTAGTCTCCAAGGACTTTATTGGCATAGGAGAGAGATTGTTTTTTTCTTTTTGCTCCTCCCATCTTGCTTAGCATATAGGAGGTTGCAGTTATTTAATTATGGAGCATGTTCCCACTGGATTGAAGCTTCTGAGAGCCAGGATTGCTTTTCATTCACAGGAAGTATGGTAGCATGGGGGAAAAAACAACAACAGTAAGACTTTGACATCCTGAGTTGAAGACTTGGCAGCACCATTTACAAGTCACTTAACCTATGTTAAGCATCACTTTCTGCATCTTATTACAACTGGAAGGTTAATGTAAGCCCCTTGTCTAGCACAGAATAAGCACTTAATAAGCAATAGCTGTTATCATTGAGTTTGGATTTCTAGATCCTGGCTCCGTTTCTGACCCAGGACTGACACTCTTAAATTAAAGGTGGAAAAATACAATTGAAGAGGGTGATTGGAGAGCCAAACTTCAAAGATTAACTAGCCATCGGTACTGAGGGTGGCCTGGAACCTTCCTCCTTGTACAGAGGATTCCAATAGGCCCTCATCTACTTGGCTTCAAGAGAAGACTGTAGCTTTAGAGTACTAACTTTATAGTCAGCTCATAGGAATGGGTATGGCCTGGCGCCCTCATCCAGGCTTGGCCAATCAGCTCAGAGTAATGGATATTCCAGCAAGGGACTTCTTGCAGCTGTCAAAGCCTGGCTCCAGTGCACACACTCCAAGCTCAGGATACTTGGCCACCTCCCAGGCTGCTGGAAGCATCCAGTGCATTCTTGGCCACAGCACATCTTATGTAGATGAGGAAGTGGGAAGCATAATTTATTCTTTGGGCAAACTGGGGGCTGGTGAATGGGTGTCTTGACCCAATTTCTGATTAGAATGCCAGCTGCAGAAGATAGGTTGTGTCCTGACTCTGGGGGAGCTGAGAGTGAGAGCATATCCAGGGAGAAGGTGGAGGAAATAGAGAAGAATGAGTAGGACTGGTACCCAGGAGGGCAAGGCCCAGGCATGCGGGAATATCTGTGCTGCCTGAAGAGACAGTGGAGATGCAGCTGGAGGCAGGGGAGCTCTCATCTTTCAGAGAAATGAATCCACTCAGAACAGAGTTCAGGCCCCGGGAGGCACCAGCTCACTATTAATAACCATGTTAATAGCTAGCATTTCTTAAGCATTTACTGTATGCCAGGCATTGTGCTTAGTATTCTTGACATGGATTGTGGCATCTAATCATGACAATTGCTCTCTGAGGCATTTACTAATAGCAGTGTTCATATTTAGGTGGTATGCCTGGTTGTTAAAATATTGAAATAGTTGAAACCTGGTTAGTAAATGCTGCTAATGTGAGCTCCCTAAGTGGTCTCTGCCCATCTCATGAGGCAGGAAAGCAGAGGACCATGCTGAGGGATCTGTGTCATGCTGTATTGGTTGATACATATTTTTAATGTTGTTGTTATAGACCTAATAATGGTCCTCAAAGACAGCCAGGTTCTAATTCCTGGAATCTGTAAATGTCACCTTAGGTGGCAAAAGAGACTTCACAGGTGTGATTAAGTGAAGGATTTGGAGATAGAGAGATTATCCTGGTGAGCGGTAAGTGAAATCACAGGTGTCCTTAGAAGAGGGAGGCAGAAGCCAGGCATGGTGGCGCACAGCTGTAATCCCAGCACTTTGGGAGGCCGAGGCAGGTGGATCACCTGAGGTCAGGAGTTTGAGACCAGCCTGACTAACATGGTAAAGCCCCATCTCTACTAAATACAAAAAATTAGCTGGGTGTGGTGGTGTAGGCCTGTAATTCCAGCTACTTGGGAGGCTGAGGCAGGAGAATCGCTTGAACCTGGGAGGTTCAAGGGAGGTTGCAATGAGCTGAGATTGCACCATTGCACTCCAGCTGGGCAACAAGAGTGAAACTCTATCTCAAAAAAAAAAAAAAAAAAAAAAAAAAAAAAGAGGCAGGCAGAGGGAGATTTGACACCGAATGCTGAAGATGCTGTGATGATGGAAGCAGAGAGAGATCTGAACATGCTATGCTACACTCCTGGCTTTGAAGGTGGATGGAATGGCCATAATTCGAGGAATGCAGCTCTAGAAGCTGAAAAAGACCAGTAAATGGACTCTCCCTAGAGCCTCTGGAGAGAGCACAGCCCTGCCAATGCCTTTGTTTCAGCCTAGTAAAGCTGACTTCGAGCTTCTGGCCTCCATAACTGTAAGCAAATAAGTGTGCGTATTTTAAGCCACCAAACTTATGACAATTTGTTAGCATGGCGTAGGAAACAAGTACAGTTTTCCAGCTGAGACGACTAAAGCTGGATGAATTAAGTGATTTGCTCCAAGTTTGTGGCCTGAGTTTGAATTTAGGCTGCTTGATTCTAGAACACTTGTCCTTTACCACCAAGCTGCCTTCTAGTAATGCTGCAAGGAAATTGCCAATGAACCCATTTTCAACATGAGATCAATCACAGTGGGTTAGAGAGGCGTATGACCTGTTTGAGGCCACAGCCTTCCCTAAAGGACAGAACTGGGATCTGGAACACCGGTGTATTCATTCTGATGCATTCTATATGATAAAGTCCTCCTGCCCTGTGGCCTGGGCTAAAATAATGGCTGCAACTTGGAGGCTTTGCAGGTATCCAAAATTCGCTCCCAGCCACCAGGTGCTGATCTCCCAAGGAGCAGCAAGACTCCCACAAACACTGTCCAACACTGGAGGCCAGGCTGCAGGTATGCATCTTGGCCAAGCAGTGTGGCTTAGGAATGTAGGTGGAGAAGCAGTCCAGACCTGCCAACTAGGCTGCTGCAGGGAGCCATAAATACCAGACTGGGGAAAGGAAGTGGGCCTGACTCAGCCAAGCCACATGCCTCTCTTGAACAGCCTGCTTTCTGGATTCAGCTCTATCCGGAGAAATCAGTCGGGGGACACTCCTCAGCTGGCAGCAGGCTGAAGCACACACCACAGAGGGACCTGGGGACGCCCGTTGGTCAGGGCTTTCCTGGCCAGCTGTGGTGAGTTTGTGCCGGTGCTTCCATTCAATCATTCAATCCTGAATTCTTCCAGAGGCTTCCTGGGGCCAGATCCCTCCACAGTTTCAGGTCAGTCCAAAGAATGATTACAGAAACCGTAATCTGTGAGAGACTATGCAAAGCACAAAAGAGTACCTATGGGTGCAAAGTAACATTTTCTTCTCCTTGCACACATGATTTCTCTGTCATGTCTTTCAAATTACCACATGAGGGAACCCGGTACAAATATCAAAAGATGGAGACCAATTCCTGGGACAGCAGAGGAAGGAAAGGTCCTACCTGGTTGCAGCCTCCGGGAGCATTTCCCACTGTTAGGAGTCTGAGCCTTGAAAAGTGAATGAGAGCTGTTAGGAGTTGAATTCTATCTTCTGAAAGGATATGCAGAAGTCCCAACTCTTGGTACACATGAATATGACCCTACAGGGGTTCCCTTTTATCTGAGATTTCCCTTTCCATGATTTTGATTTCTGTGGTTTCCTTTACTTTCAGGCAACAATGATCTAAAAATATGAAACGGAAAATCCAGAAATAAAGAATTCCTAAGTTTTAAATTGTTTATCATTCTGAGTAGCTTGATGAAATTTTGCACCATCCTGCTCTGTCCCACCTGGGACATGAATTGTCTTTTTATTCAGCATATCCACACTGCGTAAGCTACCTGCCCATGAGTCACTTATTAGCCATCTTGGAGATCAGATTGACTGTCATGGTATTGCAGTGCTTGTGTTCAAGTAACCCTTACTTTACTTAATAATGTCCCCAGTGGGGAAGAGTAATGAGGCCGGCAATTTGGATATGCCAAAGAGAAGCCAAAAAATGAAAGTTCTTGACTTATTGAAGAAAGAAAAAAAAACTGCATACTGAGATCACTAATATCTATGGTAAGAACAAATCCATTAGTGAAATAATGAGGAAGGAAAAAGAAATTCACACTGGTTTTACTGTCACACCTTAAACTGCAGAAGTTATGGCCACAGTATGTGATAAGTGTTTAGTTAAGATGACAAAGGCATTGCATTTGTGGGTGGAAGACATAAACAGAAAGATGTTCCAATTGACCGCAATCAGATTTGGTACAATCCGTGGTTTCAGCATCCACTGGGGGTCTTGGAATGTATCCCCCATGTATAAGAGGAGACTATTGTATTTGGAAATAGGATCTTTGCAGACGTAATCAAGTTGTGATGAGGTCATTAGGGTGGGTCCTTAATCCAATGTGACTGGTGTCTTTATAACAAAAGGAGAATGCCACATGAAGACAGAGACACACAGACCTACAAAGGAAGAGCACCACGACATGACGGAGGCAGAGATGGGAGCGATGCTGCTGTACAAGGAACACCAAGGATTACCGGCCATCACCAGAGGCTCGAAAGGGGCAAGGAAGGATTCTACTTCTCAGAGGGAACATGTTCAGCAGACACCTCAATTTTAGACTTCTGTCCTCCAGAATATGTGAAAGTACATTTCTGTTGTTGTAAGCCATCCAGTTTGTGGCACTTTGTCCTGGCAGTCCCAGGAAACTAGGATCAGAGAGCTTGTGTCTTGAGATAGCCCATTCTTCATGTCTCCTGCAGACCAGGGTCAAGCCCTGCTGCACCGAGTCTCATACTGAGACTGAGCGTGGAGATGTGGGAATCCCCGTGTGAGCCAAGGCCTGGTGGCTGGAAGGATGGGATCACGTTTAGGGAAAATATGAGTCTGGTTTCAGAGCAGCCAGCCATGGTGAATGAGGCTAGATAGGTAGTCCAGGGCCAGATTGTGACTCATTCCCAAACAAAATAGAAGAGCCTCAGCTTTGGACTTCCTCTTTCTCAGACGGACAAAGCATGCAAAAGTCACATAAATTACCATGAAGATGAAATGTCAGAGCCAACCTCCCTTCCCTCCACACCTTACATGGACACATAGTTTTTGTTTTGAAAATCTCTGCTTCCCTGTTTTTGTTTTTTGTTTTTTTTTTCTGAAAAGTGGATACCCTCCCTGATTTCCACCTATGGTTGGAACAAATTGAAAGGTAGACAAAGGAGTTAGTAAGATGGATATCAAAATACAACTTTCAATATCATAAAACCTTGTTGAAATGCATGGTGTTTAGAGTCAAATGCATCTGACCTCAGAGCAGTTAAATGGTGAGAAAGTTCAAGTTTGCAGAGCAGACCTACTAAGCTATTGTCACTGCCTCATCCTGTGTGGGGTTGGAGGTGAGAAGTCAAGCCAAACCCCCAGGGTCAGGGTTTCTGATGAAGATACCCAGAGGGAACCATCGAACGACAGCTGTTCCTCTAGCCAGAGAGCTTACTATACCTCCGAAGGGAGGACTCAGAGAAGGGCAGGCCGCCAAAATGCTCAAGGAAATTTAGAGGTGTGGAGAATAAGCTTTCCACCCCTTGAAACCTTAACGCTATGCCTGCCTGTGTGTGTACGTGACATCATTCTGGGCGAGGGAGGGCCTGAGTGCAACATGGGGAAAGAAGAGAAAAATAGCCTTCAAAAGCCACAATGGGGTGGTGGAGGCCTTTGGTGGAACATGCATGAGGAGTTAGGAGGAAAGTGAGCATCAAGTTTAGAGTGGAAAGACATGGGATATTTTCAGCTTCGCCATAAGCTTGTTGAGCTTCTTGGAAGCTCCTTCTTCTTTTGGTCATCAGTTTGTCAGTTGAGCCAAAAAAAAAAAAATGTGTGTGTGTATATGTCATATATATCATATATCATATGGTATATATCATATATATGTGCATACAATATATAGCTCATATGTGTATATGTATATATGTCTCATATATATGATTCTTCTAAGCCTAGAGCTAAGGTGATGCTCTTGGGAAGAAAAGCCAGCTGAAATGTTCCTGAAAAATCATGTGTAGACTGTTCCTTAGCTGGACATTGATAGAGTAAAGCCCACTGATAATACTCTGCTGATAATATTTAATATAATATAAAAAGAGAGAAAGTTGATCTGGCATTGCGGGCTACTAAGCAAGTCCACTTTTCATTCTGGCATTTGGCATCACTTGGATGTGAGCTGGCAGCAATGCTCAGGTGGTTATATAGAAAATGATAAGATCCTGTGGATCCCTCAGAATGGGACAATTATTAGGTGGGAATGGTGGGTTCTCTAGAGCAGAAAGGCAAATGGGAGCTCCCTACAACTCCCCACAGCTCCCAGAGTGGAGGCAGAGAGGGGGTTCCCCTCAGCTGCCAGCCCTGCTCGGTCTTGGTGGGAGAGGAAGTAGGACACAGGGTTCTGAGCTCCTGTGTAGGAAGCAGCTTTCCCTAGAGCCCTGGGTTCCTCAGGCTTCTGTCTGCCCCTAGTTGAGCTCTGGAAAGTTCCCAGAACCCTATCATCAGTCCACAGCTCTTCTCTTTGCATATCCTTTCTCCTGCCTCTTTAATCGCCTCCTCTGACACACTGAGGACTTAAGAGTTGTGTCTCCAAGATGCTCCAGTGTTGGTTATTCTATTGCCTGGAGGACATCTCCAGCCGAACATCCTTAAGGAGCCTCAAATTCAACAGGTTGAAATACAAATTCTTCTTTCCCCATCCCTAAACCTGGTTTTCTTTCTTATTTTAATAAATGATACAACGTGTACCCGGTCATGCAAGTGAGAAACAGAGAGTCATCCTGAACACCCTTCCCCTATCTCCCACCAAGCCCTAAGTCTTGATGATTCTACCTCTTAGCATCTCTCCTGTCTCCCCCTCCTCTCCATTCTCTGTATACTGGCTACTGGCAAGCTGTAACTGATCTCCTTGTCTCTGAATTCTTCTCTCTTTTCCTGTAGACCAGCAGTCAACAAAGTGTTTCTCTGAAGGGCCAGGTGGTGAATATTATCAGCTTTGCCTGCTGATGGACTCCATCACAGCTAGTTAACTCTGCTGTTGTGGTGCAAAAGCAGCCACAGACAATACACAAATGTATGAGTGTGGCTCTGTTCCAACAAGACTTTTATTCACAAAACCTGGTAGAGGGCCAGACTTGTCCCACAGACCAAGGTTCATGTCTTCTGATCTACACCAGCGCCAAAGTGATCTTTAAAGGCAAGTCAAGTCACAACTCCTTTCTTGCTTAAAAGCCTTCAGTGCCTCCCCATCATCTCCAAGCTCTTCTCAAAGCCCTGTGGGATCTGGCTCCTTGCCACCTCTCACACTGAAGATTGCACTATGTCCCCAGCAGCATTTGCAGCTCTGTCCTGTTTGCAGTTCCCAGCACACATGGTTCTACTTGTCAATCCCATCTGTAGGCACACCTGTCTACTGGGCTTAGAAGGCTGTTTATCTTCCCACCACAAAGTTTCTGGGCTACTGTTCATCTTTGTAGCCTCCACTCTTGTGCCCTTCTTTTCCAACTTTATTCATTTATTCCTTTGTTTGTGGATTTGTTCAGTATTTATGGATAAGCCACTTGGTAAGCACTTATTATGTGTCAGAAAGAGTTTATACAGAGAATGGTGAGGTGGGGATGGGACATGGGGATTCCTTGGCTGGGCTTCACATGGATAGGTAGACCCCATTTTCAGTACCAAAATCTGTATTAGTGAGGGTTCTCCAGAGGGACGGAACCAAATAGGATATATGTTTATATAAATGTTTATATCATTGGCTCACACAATTACAAAGGTCCCTTGATAGGGCGTGTGCAAGGTGAAGAATGAGAAAAATGGGTATTATGGCTCAATCCAAGTCCCAAAGCCTCAAAACCAGGGAAGCCAGCAGTGCAGCGTCCAGTCTGAGGCTGAAGGCCTGAGAGCCCCCAGGAGGCTGCTGGTGCAAGTCCCAGAGTCCAAAGGCCAAAGAACCTGGAGTCTAATGTCCAAGGGTAGAAGGGCAGAAGACAAAGCATCTCACATGGGAAGAGAGAAACAGAGAGAGAGAGAGAGGAAATTAAGACAAATCATTTATTTTACAATTTTAAATTTGTGTCTCGTTACTGGAACATACCGTCCAAGGTGCACTGTAATTCAATTTTTTTTTAAATATTGGAATTATCCTGTGACTAAAAAGATAACATTGTGTTCTGTTTCAAGATGTTAATTTGTTATGTGCAAATATTTAAAACAGCATGATTTTTGTAATCTCTTCCTGGCATTGCTTCATCCTAAAATTACATTAGAAGTTTAAAATAAGTGAAAATGGGCCTCTCTGAACTTCTAAGGGGCTACGGGACAGAGGTGTCTCAAGGGGTGGCTAGGAGTGTTTTGAGCTGCTTTTCCCTAATTTCTGACACTCTTCCTGCCAGTGAGATGCCAAATAAACTTGCGAGTGTCAAAACAAGCAACACAGCACTTGCTATTAAAATGGAGCTTCAGTCCTACTCTCATTCCGCTCAGGTTGCTATCTCTAAACAGCTCCTGGGCAGGAATTCTGGAAGTGTCACTGTCCAGCGCTAACCTCAGTTCTGATGGGGGACATAATAGTGACTGGGAGAAACGAGGTGTCCTAACTCCTGGGGCTGCCATCACAGTGTAAGTAACAAATAAACAAGATGGCTGGTTTGAGCTTTAGCAGTGAACTACGTTATATGAGGTGATGTGACATTCAAGGACAGATAGGTATGGGAGAAAAAGGGCTGGGCTGCCAGACACTTCCACATTTGTTCTAGTAGCTACAGGGGGGTTTCCTGAGTTGTTCAGTCTCTGGCTGTAATCTCACAGCACTCTGCTAGCTCTAAAATTAAGGCAGTCCTGTTTCATTTATTTATTTATTCCTCTGTCTCCCCTGGTCAACTGGGAGCTCTTCCTCAGAAGAAACCCTCCCTCAGTGCTCCGCGCATCCCTAGAGCCTGGGACAGCATGGCTTCTTCGCTGGAATTTGCTGAATGAGTACATCTAGTTGCACCCTCCAAGTGCTGTCTGCATTTCTACCACCAACCACCCGCATTAAGTGAATTAGGGAGACCAAGGAAGCATCACGGGAAACCTTGAAGTTGAGCTCAGTGGCAAGCCCACTTCAAAGGGAGAGGACTGGAGAGAGATGGTTAATACATGTGCATTAAATTTACCTTAGGAATGAAGGGCAAACATCTTCCAGACAAGCGCCTTTGGGGTTTCTCCAATCATCTAAACTTCTGAAAAATAGTCCATAACACATCAAACATACACAAAATGTGGCTAGGTTTAGCTGGTTGTGGTGATGCCGATGGATGAAAATAGCTACTCTTTGGTCTGATACCACAGGGAAGACAAAGCCCTCTCAGTTCTGATGGAGGGGGAAAAAAAAATCACTTTTTCAATCCCACTTTAAAAAAAAAAACAAAACTCTTTTTTACATGTTCTTTATTTTCCAATCATGAAATGAATACTCACTTACTAGAGAACATTTGGAAAGTACAGAAAATTGCAAAGAGCCTCATCGAATGTTTTGGCATATTTCCTTCTAGTCTCTCAATCCAACTCATGCTGACAGCAGAGTTAGGAAGAAGTAGAAGAGCGGGGAAATACAGTCGTTTTGCTGTTATTTTTTATACAGGGAATTATCAAAGTAGCCCTCCAGACTCCGAGAAGAGAGCTTTGCCTTTTTGCATACATTTTTACTTTTATCTGATTATGAAACAAAATATTCTAATTTTGGAAACGATAGGAAAGAAATGCCTATCACCCGTAATCCAACCCCCAAAAGATAGTCTGTTAATGTTCTGATTCACGTTTCTTGGGCCTGTTTTCTAGGCAAACAAACGTCAGTGAGATCTCACTGGATAGGCAGTGTTGAATTCTAAAAAATTATTTTCCCTTAATTTCTACATCAAAAACATTTCCCCCATATTTTAAAAACCTTATGTTAGTGAATGTTGCTAATGATACAGTCATATTTTCTGGATGGAGAATAACTTACTTAATAATTTTTAAATTGTTTGGCATTTCAAAATTTTCACATCTATAAATATAAATGTTGTGACCAACATCTTAGATACAAATTTTGTTGAGTTTCAAGTTCTCATTTTAGGAAAAGGAGGAGAATCCACATCTGTATTTATAGCTACATATCTATATATCTATATCTATATCTATCTCTCTATGTATATATATAGCTGTATGTTCAACTATATAATCTTTAAAGTCTCAACAGGGAGTTTAAATTCATACAACTTCTTTGGAAAACTGTTTGGCAGTGTCTACTAAATTAAACACAAGCTTACCGTGTGCCTCAGCAAGCTACTCCAAGATCTAAACCCGAGAGAATATAGTTCATATGTCTACAAAAAGACATGCACAAGAGTGCTCATGGTTTTATGTGTAGTAGTCTCAAAGTGGAAACAACCCAAATGCCAACAATAGAAGGATGAATAATTAAATTATGGTATATTCAAAGAATAGTACATGCTATGGTGTGAATATTTGTGTCTCCCTAAAATTTTTATGTTAAGATCTAATTACCAATATAATGGTGTTAGGATGTAGGACCTTTGGGAGGAGATTAGGTCGTGAGGGCAGAGCCCCCGTGAATGGGATTAGTGTCCTTATAAAAGATGCCCCAGAGGGCCCCTTCACACCTTCTGCCATATGAGAACACAGCAAAAAGGCACCATCCATGAACAAGAAAGCAGGTCCTCACCTAACTTTAAATATTTGACACTTTGATTTTGTACTCCCCAGCCTCCAGAACTGTGAGAAATAAATTTCTGTTGTTTATAAGCCATCCAGTTTACATTATAAGCTACCCAGTTTACAAATTGCTGTAACATTTTATTATAGCAACCTGAGTAGACTAAGACACTCCATACTTAAAAAGAATAAACTGTTGCTACATACAATAAAATGAATAGATCACTCAGAAATTATATTAAGCAAAAAATCAAGACTCAAGAGGATGAAGACTGTATGACTCCACTTTTATGAAATAATATATAAAACTGATTATGGTAGTAATCAGAATAGTGGTTCCTTACGGATAGATGTAGGATGATTTCTGCCTAGGAAAATGCGTGAGGGAATCTCTGAGGGTGCTAGAAATATTGTGTGTTTATCTGTGCCATGGTTATATCAATGTATTTAAATGTGAAAATCTGTGAAGATATATGCTTAAGAAAAGTATTTAAATAATAATAATCTAAATTATTTATTTAAATAAATGCCTAAGATTATTTAAATTTTAAGCATATAGATTCAGGATATGCCTCAAAAAAAAAAAAAAAAAAAAAAAAAAGTCCTACCGGTGCAAGGACATCATCTCACCAAAGTAGAGATTTGGTCACTTGTGCATATGGCGAGTGCTCTCTGGGAAAATTTTGTGGCAGGGTTTTGTGAACTAGAAAGCAACATGGTGCAAAGATTATTTTGTTTCCTGCAGTGTCTTACCCCTGAGAGAGACTTAGCCTTGGCAAAAAGAATGAAGTGGTCAAAGTCTGCCTTCTGGTCTATGTCTTAGAAATACTGACCTTCTGAGGTCAGGCAGAGTCATCAGAGATGACCTGATATATTCCTTCACCTGATGAATGAGGATGCTGAGATTGGGAATAGGGAAAGTGACTTGCCCACAGTCAGAGTCAGGCCATAGCTCGTTGTCTTTTTCATTCATTTAATGATCCTGTGCTGAGCATATAACTGGTGCCAGGCCCTGGGCTAGTTCCAGCTTTCAAGGCATTTATCATTGACAGAACGAAAACATAAGGGTCTTACAGCCATTAGGATGTCTACTATCAAAAATCCAGAAAATAACAAGTGTTGGTAAAGATGTAGAGAACTATTAGAATGCTTGTGCACTGTGGGTGGAAATATAAAATGGTGCAACCAATTCAAAGAACAGTGTGGTGCTTCCTCAAAAATTAAAAATAGAATTAGCATATGGTGCAGCAATACCATTTCTGGGTATATACCCCAAAGAATTGAAAGCAGGGACATGAAGAGATATTTGCATACCCATATTCATTGCCCCATTATTCATGATAGCCAAGAAGTGAGAGCAACCTAAATGTCCCTCAATGGACGAATGGGTAAAAGAAATGTGGTCTATATATACAGTGGAATATTATCAACCTTAAAAAGGAAGGGAATTCTGGGCCAGGCGCAGTGGCTCATGCCTGTAATCCCAGCACTTTGGGAGGCCGAGGCGGGCGGATCACGAGGTCAGGAGATCGAGACCATCCTGGCTGACACTGTGAAACTCCATCTCTACTAAAAAAACAAAACAAAACAATACAATACAAAAAATTAGCTGGGTGTGGTGACGGGCGCCTGTAGTCCCAGCTACTCGGGAGGCTGAGGTGGGAGAATGGCGTGAACCCGGGAAGCAGAGCTTGCAGTGAGCCGAGATTGCGCCACTGAACCACTGAACTTCAGCCTGGGCGACAGAGCAAGACTCCATCTCAAAAAAAAAAAAAAAAAAAAAAAAAAAAAAAAAGGAAGGGAATTCTGACATATGGAAAACCTTGAAAACATTATGCTAAGGGAAATGAGCCAGTCACAAAAGGACAAATACTGTATGATTACATATATATGAAGTTCCTAGGGTAGTCAAATTTATAGAGACAGTAGAATGGTAGTTGACAGGGGGTCAGGGTAGAGGGGAATGAGTAGTTGTTGTTTAATAGGTACAGTTGTTCTTTGGTAACCACGGGGGATTGCTTCCAACACCCTCAATGGCTACCATAATTTAAGAATAAGCAAGTCCTTTACATAAAATGATACAATATTTGCATATAGCTCATCTTCCTGTATAATTTAAATAATCTCTAGATTACTTAGAATACCTAATAGAATGTAGATGCTTTGTAGGAAGTTGTTATATGCTATTGGGCTTTTGTTGGTATTATTTTTATTTTTGTATTTAAAAAAATATTTTCTAGTGTCTTTGATTTATGATTGGTTGATTCTGGGGACGTGGAGCCCATGGATATGAAGAGCTCACTCTATAGAGTTTTAGTTTTGCAAGATGAGAAAAGTTCTGGAGATTAGACAACAATTAGAACTTACTACTGAACTGTGCACTAAAAATGGTCAAGATGATAAATTTAATGTTGTGTATATTTGACCACAATCATAGGGGCAGATAGGAGGGAGGGCAAGAGACCTCTAATTCAGCCTTGGGGGTCAGAGAGAAGGGGGCCCTGCTGAGAATGAACCCTCCCACCTTTGATGCACACACTCTCCCCTAATGACCTCCTATTCCACATATACCTGAAGGGAGAACTCCATGACTATAGACTAGAGTGAACATGAGTCTCATATACCCAGCCTGGGTGAGACTCCATGATGTTAGATAAGAAATACACTGATAAGAAATATGCAGAAAGAAGATCCATGTCAACTTTCAAGTATCCAAGGCAGATAAGGGTCTTCTAACAACGCTGGGTTAAGTAGAGCATCTTGGTATATGTGAGTGATTTGGTCACTGAGATCAAAATAAATGTGGCAATTTCCAACCAAAACTTAGGTTAAAATTACATAAAACTTTACACATCCCCAGTAGATCACAACTACTGATGATCACTGATGAGATGCCTCTGGGAGCTTCTGAGGAGTGTTATGAAATAAGTCTTAGGTCTTCCTGGGGAATGAAAGAGGAAGGCATTGATCCATCAGCCCCATTGTCCAGGGGTTAAAGGCAGACCTGCACATATTACTGCTTCTCCACTTCCTAGATGTTCATATGTGAAGGCCAAGTGGGTGCCTATGGCATCACATGTTATGGCACCATGGGAGTTCCAGGGAAGGAAGTGAGGGAACTGAAAAGCCCTGGGTATATTGCAGACTGGTTGCAGCTGAACTAAGCTAGTAGACACCTGCTCAGAGCTGATCACAGTTGCAGCTGAAGGAAGTGGTAGGCCCAAACAGGCTTGAAATGGTGCACGAGAAGTTTCTGACACAGTCAATTTCTGGTACCACCCAGATCTCTTCTTATCTCAATGGAAGATTAGAAAATAAGTGCAGTTTTCGTATTCCACAGACTCAATAAATAGCTGGCTCTTGCTACTGCTCCATCTATTTTCTCTATTGTCTTCAAAACAATTGAATGAAAAAATTCCAGAGCTTGGTGCTTTCTTTGAAAACATGGCTCTTCTGTCCATTTTACTGATGAGAAAACCGAGGCTTCCCTATGCCTAAGGGAGCACATTGGAGATAAGAGCATAAGGAAGTGCGAGACACTAGCTTAGTTTCTTCAAATGAATCACTCTGCCTCTTGGTGGATGGTGTTTTTCCCCAAACCTATATTCACCTTTTCCTTACCACAAATTTCTACCCTCGCCTTTGATATGATAAATATCAGATTGAATAATAAATCCACTACCTGGAAGTCCTAGCCAGAACAATCAGACAAAAGAAAGAGATAAAGGGCAGCCAAACTGGTAAAGAGTAGTCAAACTGAGATTATATGATCATATACCTAGAAAACCCTAAAGACTCCTCCAAAAAGCTCCTGGAACTGATAAATGGATTTGGCAAAGTTCCAGGATACAAAATCAATGTACACAAATCAGTACCACTGCTATACACCAGTAGTGACCAAGCTGAGAATAAAATCCAAGAGCTCAACCCCTTTCATAATAGCTGCAAAAAAAAAAAAAAATACACTTAGGAATATACCTAACCGAGGAGGCAAAAGACCTCTACAAGGAAAACTACAAAACACTGCTGAAAGAAATCATAGATGACACAAATATATGGAAACACACCCCATGCTCCTGGATGGGTAGAATCAATACTGTTAAAATGACCATACTGCTAAAAGTAATTTACAATTTCAATGCAATTCCCATCAAAATACCACCATCATTCTTCACAAAACTAGAAAAAAACATTATAAAATTCATGTGGAACCAAAAAAGAATCTGCATAGCCAAAGCAAGACTAAGCAAAAAGAACAAATCTGGAGGCATCACATTACCCTACTTCGAACTGTGCTATAACACTATAGTCACACAAACAGCATGGTACTGGTATAAAAATAGACACATAGACCAATGGAACACAACAGAGAACCCAGAAATAAAGCCAAATAATTATAGCCAACTGATCTTTGACAAAGAAAACAAAAACATAAAGTGGGGAAATGACATCCTATTCAACGAATGGTGCTGGGACAATTGGCAAGTCACACGTAGAAGAATGAAACTGGATTCTCATCTCTCACCTTATACAAAAATCAACTCAAGATGGATCAAAGACTTAAATCTAAGACCTGAAACCATAATAATTCTAGAAGATAAAATTGGAAAAACCCTTCTAGATATTGGCTTAGGCAAAGACTTCATGACCAAGAATCCAAAAGCAAATGCAATAAAAACAAAGATAAATAGATGGGACTTAATTAAACTAAAAAAACTGCACAGCAAAAGAAATAATCAGCAGAGTAAACAATCCACAGAGTGGGAGAAAATGTTCTCAAACTATGCATCCAACAAAGGACTAATATCCAGAATCTACAAGGAACACTAACAAATCAGCAAGACAAAAACAAATAATCCTGGGCAAAAAGTGGGCTAAGGATATGAATAGACAATTCTCAAAAGAAAATATACAAAAGGCCAGAAAATGTAGAAAAAAATGCTCCACATTAATAATCGTCAGGAAAATGCGAATCAAAACCACAATGCGATACCACCTTACTCCTGCAAGAACGGCCACAATTTTAAAAAATCAAAAAATAATAGACGTTGGCGTAGATGTGGCAAAAGGGGAACACTTTTACACTGTTGGTTGGAAAGTAAACTAGTGCAACCACTATGGAAAACAGTGTGGAGTTTCCTTAAAGAACTAAAAGTATATCTACCATTTGATCCAGCAATCCCACTGTTGGGCATCTACCCAGAGGAAAAGAAGTCATTACACAAAAGACATTTGCACACACATGTTTATAGCAGCACAATTCACAATTGCAAAAATATGAAACCAACCCATCAATCAATGAGTGGATAAAGAAAATGTGAGATATATACCATGAAATACTACTCAGCCATAAAAAGGAATGAAATAATGGCATTTGCGGCAACCCGGATGGAGTTGAGTAATATTATTCTAAATAAAGTAACTCAGGGAGGGAAAAACAAACTTTCGTATGTTCTCACTTACAAACGGGAACTCAGCTATGAGGATGCAAAGGCATGAGAATGATACAATGGACTTTGGGGACTTGGGGCAAAGGGTGGGAGGGGGTGAGGGATAAAAGACTACACATTGGGTACAGTTTACACTGCTCGGGTGATAGGTGTACTAAAATCTCAGAAATCACCACTAAAGAACTTATCCATATAATCGAACACCACCTGTTCTCTCAAAACCTATAGAAATAAAAAATAAATAAAAGATAAATTCACTACCTGTAAGGGCTAAATTCTGGCTTTAAATTTAATAATAAAATTTTACATATGTATAAAATGCATTCTCTTAGCTAGCCATTTTGCAGACACCTTCTCATTGTATCCTCATAACAACCTATAAGGTAGTCTTGTACTCTTTCTCTCTCTCTCCTTCCCTTCCTTCCCCTTCACTGTGGAAAAAATAAAAATAAAAATAAAAAACCAAAAAACAAAAAACCCAAACATATAACATAAAATTTAGCATTTTAACTTTTTTTAAGTGTACAATTCAGGGACATTAAGTACATTCATGATGTTGTGCAACCAATCCCACCAATATCCATTTCTAGATCTTTTTCATCATCCCAAACTGAAACTCTACACCCATTAAACAATAGCCTCCTATTTCTTTCTCCCTGAAACTCCTGGTCACTTTTATTCTACTTTCTATCTCTATGAATTTACCTATTCTAGGTGCCTCATGTAAGTGAGATCATACAATGTTTGTCCTTTTGTGTCTGGCTTATTTCACTTAGCATAATCTTTGTGACATTTAATAGAGTATGCCAGGATTTCATTACTTTTTAATGCTGAATAATATTCTACTGTATTGATATATCACTTTTTAAAATTAATTCATCTGTTGAAGGACACTGGGGCTGTTTTTACCTTTGGGTTATGATAGTGCTGCTAAGAACATTGGTGTACAAACACAGATGCTCCTTGATTTACGATGGGATTTCAACCCACCGTAAGTTCAAAATATCATAAGTCAAAACTGCATTTAATACATGTAGCTTATAGCACATCATGGCTTAGCCTCACCTTCCTTAAATGTGTTCAGAACACTTATATTAGCCTATAGTTGACAAAAATCATCTAACACAAAGCCTGTTGTATAATAAAGTGTTGAATATCTCATGTGATTTATTGAATACTGTACTGAAAGAGAAAAAATCCACAGTAGCAGCTAGAGCAGGTGGTGGGCCCAAACAGGTTTGAAATGGTTCAAGAGAAATGTCTGACATAGTCAGTCTCTGGTACCACCCAGATATCTTCATATTTCAATGAAAGATGAAATGTGTACAGTTTCCATATGTGTATGGAAGATTGTGTAGAAGAATGGTTGTATGGATACTTGAAGGATGGTTTCTACTGAATGTGTACCACTTTTGCACCATGGTAAAGTTAAACCATCATCAGTGTCTATATCTGTTTGAGTTTCTGCTTTCAAATTCTTTGAGTATATACCTAAGAGTAGAATTTCTGGATCATATGATAATTCCATGTTTAACTTTTTGAGGAATCGCCATACTGTTTTCCATAATAGCTACCTCATTTTACGTTCCCCCCAGCAATACATCAGGGTTTTAATTTCTCCAAACTCTCACCAGCACATATTATTTTCCATTAAAAAAAAGTAGTAGCCATTCTAATGGGTGGGAAGTGGTATCTCACTGTAGTTATGAATTGCATTTCCCTGATGTATGTTTCTTTTTTCATGGAGGAGGAGACTAAGTCACAGCAAAACTAAGTAACTTACTCAAGATAGTGTAGTTGCTAAGTTGCAGACACAGGATTCAAATCCACTTCCTGCTGACTCCAGTGTCCATATTTTTAATTGTCCCCCCTGGTTTGTGTCCCTTCAGATCAGAAATGCTAGAGGCAGCTAGTAGTATAGGTCAGAAATTGTTTTCAGCAAAAAGCCATCCCTTACGTGGAATATTTCTCACTTATCCAGACACTAAAAGATGGCCCCTGTTTTCAAAGGTCTCTCACTTGGGTACAGTGCTTCTCAAACTTGAAGAATCAGTTTTTATTTTTTTAATTTCCAGTGTGTTACATACTGATGTTTTTGTAAATCACAATAGAAATGAATTACTAGAAAAGGAAAATTTAAAAAAACATACATAATATAAACCCAAATGTTTTGTTATTTGATGATTATGAAAATAATTGCTCTGTCAATAGCTATAAATGTTTATGTACTTTCAATATCTGTTCCTATCTCATAATGGATCGGTGTATTAGTCCATTTTCACTCTGCTGATAAAGACATACCCGAGACTGGGCAATTTACAAAAGAAAGAGATTCATTGGCCTAACAGTTCCACATGGCTAGAGAGGCCTCACAGTCATGGCATAAGGCAAGGAGGAGCGAGTCACATCTTATGTGGATGGCAGCAGGCAAAGTGGGAGCTTGTGCGGGGAACTCCCCTTTTGAAAACCATCAGATCTCGTGAGATCCATTCACTATCACAAGAACAGTGCAGGAAAGACCCGCCCCATAATTCAATCACCTCCCACTGGGTTCCTCCCATGAAAGGTGGGAATTGTGGGAGTTACAATTCAAGATGAGATTTGGGTGGGGACACATCCAAAGCATATCAATCGGTAACATTTTACAGACAGCACCATCCATAAATTACATATTGAGGGGCACTAACCTAAAGGAGCAGGCACATGTTGAATTTTGAAGAACAAACAAGAGTTAGCATTGTTAATTTAGAATGCCTGGGCCTCTGTTGTTTCCATGTCTTTTCTTGAGGAACCAGAACCTAGATCACATGAGAAATTCCATGGGCATTAAAATGTGGCTGACAATAATTGATGCGGTGGTAGAATTAGAATAGGTTATGAAGCTAGGCAGGATCTAGAACTAAATTCCAAAAGCTGTGTGTCCTAGGTGGATGACCTTGAGCAATTCAGTTCCTGTCTCCAAACTCTATTATAATATCATCTTCCTAAAAAAATGAGGCTAGAAGGTCCTATTTTGCAGGGATATTGTTAAGATTGAATGTCACCATGTATGTAGATCACTTAGCAGAGTGCCCAGTTCATCGTAGCCACTCAACCAATAAATAGGAGTTCCTTCTCTTTATCTTTGGCAGAGCTTTGACAGCCTTCAAAAGTTGCCAGAAGAATACCAGACCACAGCAGTCTGAAAATGCATCCCTTCTTAATTACCATTTGGTTTGGAACGAGACTGACTCATCTGTAGCCCTGGCAGCAGCAGGTCCTGGTTGGGATGGAGGTGATGCTGGGTCACTGGACATGCCTGGAACTCTGCCTCTTCCTGCCTCACTCTGGATTGCTGCTTCATTGGGTCATTTGGACTCAACAAAGCAAAAATGCTGTGAACGTGCCATTTTACTTAAGAAGCTTGACTTTGAGAGAGCCAAAGAAGGGATGCCTACAAAGAAATATTCAGTGTTTCCCATTACCTTGGCTTTACTTCAAAAGAATCACACATTCTACCCAAGGCTAGCACTATCTGTGAAATCCTGATATCCCTGATATTAAACCATGAGAAATAAGCCATATTTCCTATCCTTCAGACACTCCTTTTGGCAGGACATTTTTGGACATGGTGCATGGTAGATGTTTGGTTTTGGGATCTGGATTTAACTTCTAAATCCATAACACCAGCTGTGTGACCTTGAAGGAATCATGTAAAATGGGTTAATGCTCTAATTCCAGTTTTTAAAAGAAATAAATAGGACTATGAATGTGAGACGGTTATACAATCATCCCTCTCTCTCCATTTTATTTTTTCAAGTGCTAAAGAGCAAATGGGTTTGAGGCACAACCAAATGTTTTGGAGTCCATGGCTGAATGAACAGAGTGTCAGGGCCATTCTGCTTCCCATTCAGAATACCAGGATTACCTCTGGGCAGGTGGATTATAAACTTTTACTGTTTAGAGGGCATACATCAAAGCCTAGTTTGACTGCTTGCACACTTCATAGTTTTTAATCCTGAAATGTGAGCACAACTCATGAGTTTTGTGCGGCTGAACAAGGAAATAATTTGTTCATCATTCTTTAAGGGGCTCTGAACTTGCACCGATAACAAGGAGCTTGTGTTTATCTGGAATCTTTCTCTAAAAAATTTATAGTTTAGCACAGGCCTGGACGGTGAGTGATGGGGACCACATGGCCCTAGGAATGCAGCTGACTGCATGCACACTACGTGGAGGGTGTGTTG
Organism: Homo sapiens; assembly: GCF_000001405.40. NCBI lineage: Eukaryota > Metazoa > Chordata > Mammalia > Primates > Hominidae > Homo > Homo sapiens. The sequence continues at coordinate 108,167,652 of NC_000009.12, read as the reverse complement.
CTCCTGTTTCTTCTTAGAGAGTCAGACTGACCTTTAAGGATGTCTTCAGGAGAAGCCATTTGTCAGCCAGGCTCCTAGAGGGTGGGCACTGAAGCAGAGTGCACGCAGTAGTTCTAGCTTTTGGCCAGTGCTCCTTAGAGCTCAGTATTGTGTCTTTACCCTGGTGCCACCCCTCACTAGCAATTCATGCCTTTCACATGGCAGTGATATCACTACCTGCTCTGCTATTGTGTCCTGTTATTGATGTTCAAATACTTTTGGTTCCTTGGTGAAAACCTTGACAATCTGGTCAAGCTGCCTTAGGTTGCCTTGTGCAACATTCCTTCCACTTTAACCTTGGCCTTAGAAAGCTTTCCACTCCAGAGCTGTTCTCACAAGCAGCTCTCCAACTTGATTTACCCATGCCTGGTGTCACTTGTTCAGGTGGAATAGGTATTGAGCTGTTGGGATTGAACCTACAGCACCTCTCTTGAAATTAAATTAATTATAGGATAAAGCATAACCATGTTTTGAGTTCTCCTCTATTTATATTGTTGATTGATTTTTAACTGTTTAAGGAGACAGTTCTCTGAAAACATGCTGTCTTAAATAGATGGGAGAGAGCTAACTTTTCATTTTCTGTGATAAGAGAAGAACAGAGGCATAGGTAACCTAGAAAAGCATACAACCCTTTAATCCTTGATATTTATATCTTGATCTCTATCATGATAATGGTACAACCAGTAGAATGTGTGCCACTGGAAAGATGCAAAGTAGATCATGTGAGATGCAGGGCTTTTTAACCGTTGTTAAGGATCTGTAGGCAAATTTCCCCCAATAATTTATGCAATATTTAATCCCCTAGGAACCCAGGGCAACTGAACAAACAACTGAAACTAAAATCCTTCTGTAGAAAAGTCGGCTTTGTGCTTGGAGAGCTGCATGGTTCAGGGGAAAGAGAATGGACTTTGGACTTTAACCTTTTTCCATGTAGTAGAACAAAAGAAAAGCAAAGTCCATTTTTAAGGAACTGTAGCTATTTATATACTTAAGCTGAGTTTGCCTTGGAAAAAATATTGCTGTTTTGTTGTGAAAACATTTTGATTAGGCTATTGGTTATTCAAATAAGACCTTGGACCTAGAATGAAGAGGAGGTGTTAAGACAAAGGGAAGATAGGTTGCTCTGCATAAAAAGTTAAAAGGATCCTTTTCAAAAAGAGAGATTGTTTGGTTGTTAACTGTGTTTTACATCCTCTGGAAGTAGAGAATCCAGAAACTTGGAGTTTGGGGCTTTAAGAGATAGAGTGAGGAGAAGAGTGAGGAGGAGGAACTCAGATGCGACAGGAGTGGCCCTGGCATCATGGCGGCAGCGGAGTGGCAGGGGAGGCAGGGAAGGCGCAGAGGCAGGGCTGTGGCTCAGATACGGCCCCACACCACTGCTGCAATCCCCGCTACACTTCTCCATCATCACCCCAGCTTACATAATGCTGGGAGAGGAAGGAAAAAAAAGGAGGAAAACATCTTGAGCTAGCTGAGCTTCTATCTTGAATTGGTCAAGTTTACATAAAGAAGCAACTAAATTTGCTATGAATTTGATTAAATTTTATGAAATTAAAGTTGCAGCTTCACTCCTGGTTGACTCAAGTGACTTTAACATTCATACCTATACTCATGGCATCTGCTGAGTTTTCATCTAACTTTTGTTATTTCTCTGGTCCTTTTGTTTCCCGAGTTTCCACACTAGGATGGCTATCTGCATGCATGGCTCCTTGTGTTCCCCCTGTTCCAATGCAAACTTAGCCGCTTCCACATCGGTTTACTTTTCTCTTCTTGTGCTCCATGAGGGCAGAAACTCTGGAGAGCGCTTCCACAGTTGTATCCCTAGCCCTTAGCAGAGTACTCACTATAGAGTAGGTGCGAAATAACTCTTGTTGAATGAATGCCTGATAGAAAAAGAAGAAAGTGACCAGGAGAGGAGGAGAAGTCAGAATGAGAGCAAAGAAAGGGATGGTCAACAGGTCCTTGGGATGAAAGAGGCTACTGGTTGGGTCAACACACAACTGAGGGCAGAGGAGCTGGTAGCAGGGCTGCAGGGTGTGAGGACAAGAAAGTTCAAGGTGGGCCAGAGAGGGCAAAAAGGAGTTGCTCCAATTCCACATCAAGCCCCCAGTGAGTTGAGGAATGGTTGATTCCCTGGGATCGACTACCAGCCTGGTAAAAGGTTATCAGGTGGGGAAGGGGGATGGAGCAGATGGTGTCGGGACAAGGTGTTCAGAGTTTTGCAAACTCTCACTGGAGAACAGATGTGATCCCAATTTTAGGATCAGTGCTATTCACCTGAGCATCTGTGATCATTTTCTTATCATTTCAAGCTCTCCTTTAGAATGCTCTGCCAGCATGAGAAGCCAGAGCTCAGGGAAGACCAAAAGCCTCTGCCACAAATTCTAAAACACCACCTGGATGATATTATTCCCTCTTTCACACCTTCCATGGCTTCCTCTTGCCTTCCAGATTTATGTTAAGGAAATAGGACTTGTTTAAGGCTTACCACACAGTAGCTATGAGGAGTGTTTGATGCCTTTCCCATAGAATAAATCTTCTTGGATGGATCAGCTTCTCCCTTCCTTGGAGATTCTGTTAGGAAAGAGGAATGAGAATAGAAGCACTAGGAATGAAATCCCAGTGGATGGAAGACTATGGGATACTATTGCTGGGCAGAGACGTCAATAGACTGTGTGATTACAAAAGGAAGAAAGAGAATTGGCCTTTCTCTTGGCAGCAGGCTTTCCTCTTCTCTGTGTTCTCCCTCATGAATCTCTCCATGTCTGGAGCCTTCACATTGCTGTCTATCTTATTATTGGTTAATAAATATGGAAATAATCCTCAGTAATACTGAATAAATGATTGCCACTCTTTGCACATATTCTATTACATTCTTTTTTTTTTTTATTAACTTAGGCTGGAGTGCAGTGGCAGGATCTCACCTCACTGCAACCTCCGCCTCCCGGGTTCAAGCGATTCTCCTGCCTCAGCCTCCCGAGTAGCTGGGACTACAGGCGCCCACCACCACGCCCAGCTAATTTTTTGTATTTTTAGTAGAGGCAGGGTTTCACCGTGTTAGCCAGGATGGTCTCGATCTCCTGACCTTGTGATCCGCCCACCTCAGCCTCCCGAAATGCTGGGATTACTGGCATGAGCCACCGCACCCAGCCCTCTATTACATTCTTTCAGTTTCTTAATACTTATGTCCTTCTACCTGTATTCAAGGTTTCGGTCAATGTGCATCATGTTCAAGGTGTGTGTGTGAGAGGTGATATCCAGAAGGTTTGGTGAGGAGATTCATTCATGTGAGAGTCTGGAGGGGAGTGGCTGTAGAGTGCCTGGTGGGAGAATCACGTTAAAACGGCTCCCTTCTGCTGCAGGGCTTGGGTGAGAGAGGTGTCAGTGGTGTCTATTAAGCAGTTGCTGACCAAAATGCCTGGCAGCATTTGGACTAGGCTTTGAAGTGGGGGTAGAGTTATCTGCCAATCAGAGAAAGAGATGTCAAAGATGATGGTTTTTCAGATGGAGAACTAGAGGCAGCAGAGAGAAACAATTCTGTGATGGTAATATAAAAATGTGAACCAAATGGGGGAAAAAAAGAACAAAAGTGTGAGTAAAAGCATGAGAGAACTTTGCCTTCATATTTCCAAATAAGCTTTACTCATGCCATGGGGCTTAGAGAAATCCCCATCAAAGTCAGATGTGTGCCATGACACCAGGTGGGTGGTCTCCTTGCACAGAGACATCACGCCCACACACCAGCACAAGGGAAGGGCTGAGCATGGCTCCCAGAGATGCCAGTAGATTGTGCTGAGTCACCCATATTTGCTCTGAAACTGCTTTCCTAAAAGTAATGTTGGGCAGGATGGCTCCCTGTGCCACTGCCTACAGGATAAGCCCAGGCTGTTTAGCTTAGCCGGGTGTCCTGCTGATTTCACCGCTTGCGTTCCTGAAAACCTCACCCGCCCCCATGCATGCTGCAATCTTTTACCATAGGAATGTTGGTGGGCACCCAAACACACTATCCTCTTGTCCACCTTCATTACTGTGTACATAGCATTTCCTTTACCCAGGTTTCTTTTCCCCTTTTATAAGCTTGCCAAACTCCTATTCATGCTTCAAAACTCAGCTCAAATGGGTTTTTTCTTTCAGTAGCTTTCTCTGAAAGATCAGTCCCTTTCCACCAACCAAAAGCAGAATTAAGTATTTTATCCTCTGTTTGCTTTGTTACTTTGAGAATAATCCTACGATAGCAGTAAAATAACATGTACTTATTTATGTTCTCTTTCAAATGTGGCTTTCAAGAGCATTTTCTTATTCAATAAATATTTATTATCTACTATACATCTGGCATTACTCGGGACAAGGACTATATATATATATTTATCACCAATATTGCTCATTCCAAACTCAATATTTCCAGAAGCTAGAACAAATCAGTTCTCTGGGAGTATAGGATGAATGAATGAATGAATTAAATCATTTCCCCTAGGCCCTTAAAACTGCTACACCAAACCTGGTTTGATATAACATAAAAACTTGGATGAGCCCCCGGGGAAGATGCTGACAGTGTTTTCTGGGATGCTCTGGCTGCCTATAATTTGGTGTAAGTCAGAGAGTCTATACAGTTGTCCAGAGAAGAACTCTCTCTGATGGTCAGTGGGTCTTTTCTATTCTGAAACCATGTATTCCTGTGGTTCCAGAAGCTGAAATAAAGCAGTTGTATCATGAGTCACCACTCCCTCAGCAGACCATGAATGAGCTGCTTGGCACAAGCTCCACCAGTGGGAAGCCTGACCACTGAGACTGGCCTTGCTGCCCATCTGTGTCCTGTTGGAAACCTTGGACCAAGGCTGCAGCAATTTGGGAATTTTTAAAAAGTACTCTCCACCGATTTCAAAGACAACTTTCAAAATGGGGTTTGAGGAATAAATAGGCAGCCATATAATCACACTCTCTTCTTCTTTGGGAGAGACGTAATAAGCTCTTATTTTGATTTAACGATGGGTAGCTTGGTCCATGTGTTTCCCAGGCCCTTGGCTATAATTAGGATGTTTCTTTAAGGGGTGACTGTGAGTCAATATCACTGATTTCTTCTAACCAGCACACCTGAATGTAGGTATCAAAATGATGGGCGGCTCCCTGGAGATGGTCTTTTTCTGGACAGCGTGTAATAAGAAGAGCACTTCACTGGGAGTCAGGATACTGGGCATCAGTTTTCACTTCCACCATTTACTACATGATGACGTTGGGCAAATCACCCATCTCATTTGTGAAAAATGAGATAATGTTTACTTTGTAGGAATGTTTTAAGGCTCAAATAAGGCAATAGGTAGAAAGTTTTTGACACACAGGAGAAAGTTAATAAATGTTAATTTCTTCTGTTTCTTAGGAAAACTTGTGTTCCTTCTAGTAATGCCGTCTTTGGAGTTCCTCCTTGAAATTGACTACCCGTGAAGTGAGGATATCATAGCTCTCACTTATTGATGATCTGGGGCACTTCTATCTATCCCTGGGCTTTGCTGGGAACTGCTAGTGATTTATTCTGTACTTTGCTGTCATGGTCGGTCTTGGGGCTTACATCTTCAAGGACAGGAAGGCATTTGTCTGGCCAGGGGCTGCGTTCCAACTGTTGAAGCCCTTGCCTGCCTCTGACTAAATACCGATTCAATCCAATTCAGCCAAGTCTGACACCATTGTCAAGGTTTTCAAGGTGCCTAATGAATGGTATGCCCTCCCCTGTCTCCATTTTGAAGAATTCAAAAAAACAGACAAATGTGTCAGTGGCTGGAGAACCAAAATACCACTTTTGGTACAGATAAAGCTATTTTGAGGTGGTAGTTTCATGTAAGTGCCAAAATGGAATGTAACTCCCTAGCTCTGAGTCTGAACTTTGCCCACCTGAGGGCAACTTTGTGTTTGCACAGCAGATATGCTTGCCCAAGTTATTGTCTCCTTCCCACGAGTCCTGGTGGCCATGAAGAGAGAAAGAGATCTATTCTGACACTAAAGATATTTGAGAAAATTAGCTCCATTTAACTGAGATCAATGGCTGTAGTCCACCAAAAAGGTAACATGCCCCAGCACCATTAGGTGGAGTGAGGGGTGGGGCAAGGACCAAGAATGCTCTTGGGGACCTCACCCAAGAGGAGCTGGATGTGTCAGCCTTGTCCTTGTCCCCTATGACTGTCAGAATCCTGATGTAGCAGCTTTCACTCCCAACCTGCACCCTTTACAGACAGGCAATGCACATTCTGAAGCTCTTTCTGTCTTGGTATTGCCAGCTTAGCACTTTCTTATACCTGGTTTCCTCTTCCTCGTCCAGATCATATTGGTGGTTCAGTCTGGTTCTTAGTGGGGCTTTCAAACATTTCTTGGCTTTACACTTTTGCAGATGTACTGTTCCCAGTCCATCCCTTCTTACAGCCAAGGACTCCAGTGCCGTTTCTGGTCCAGAAGAGTTCAGTGTCTCAGCTGGCTGATTTCCCACCAAGACTGAGGAGCTGAGACAACAATAGAGACTTTGAGAGTCACCTGGTCCCACACAGTGCCTGCTGAGAGCCCTGGGTCAGAAAGAGAGGGAAACCTTTCCCAGACTGCACAGTCCAGCCTGTAATGCTATGCTGTGCTTCCTCCTGGGGAGCTTCTGTGAAGGCTGCCCTTGGGCAGATGATTTTGTCCCTGTTTGAAACAGAAAATAAAAAAGGTCACAAGTCCCCGGGGTGACTAAATGCTGAGCCAACTAATTTCTTCAGTTATTCAAAATTGTTATTTTCCAGGAAGGGGAGTCAGCGATTAGGAAGACAAAACTGACACTTTATATAATGATGTCAAAACAAAACCATGCATTTTACATTATTGAAGTGTCAGCATGCGATTTTGCTCTTTATGTTATTTTCCCTGAACTCCAATTCAGGCAGGTAGCAGGTTGTAATTAATTTCACTTTTCTTGAAGTTTTTCAATATGGCAAATAGAAGCCTCTAGAAGACCACAAGGGTTTTTTTGTTTGTTTTTTGTATATATATATTTTTCTTTTTTTGTTTTGTGTTTTGCTAAATCCTTAACTGAAAGCATTATACTAAATGTCCTCAATGGAAGGAAGAGTTGGAAAATGTGAGCAGGGAGTGGAGAGGGTATCTCAGAGATGGAGAAGGGCTATAAGTCCAATGATTAGCCCAGGCTTATGCCCTGCTCTGTTTTGCTTTCTAGGAAAATGACCAAACCTGGGAGGGATTGGCTGCTTTGTGTGTATAGAAGGTAGGATTCCGGGCATGGATGGCAGGGAAGCAGCTGAGCTTTAGGGACATGCTTTAGGCTTAGACAGTGAAGATGTTCATGATGACCCTGGTGGACTAAAAATTAAAGAGCCCTCCTCTTTGGGGGATTTTGATGTGGCTTTGTGGGGAAAGGGGACAACCCCTTGTGACTGAGATTGGGCATTTTGCCATCCTGGTAGAATGATAGCTTGGGGTCACATTTAATTTTATTTCAAGAGAAGGCAAAAAATATGATATTTCTGGGATACCTGGAGATGCAAATTGAGATTCACACTTTGACATATAAAATAAGTTGAGTCTTTAAAGATGGCTGCTTGTAGATGAATCTTCAATGGGACTATTAAATACAGTTTTAACCTTAAAAAGTAAGTTTGATATTTAGCTCTTTCTTCAGAACAATTCTTACATAACACATCAGTATACAATACAGATGAAAATGGGGGTGTCTTGAATGGATTTGCTGGAACCCAGGATCCTTCTATTTGGCGTTTCCCTCATAGTGACTGACCCCTAAGTGCCATCTATGAAGTCCTAGGGCTCTAAGAATCAGTTTGGAGCCACCACCCCCCCGACCCCGCCACCACCCCAGGTCACAGACTTTCTTTGATAAGTGGGTGGCTGAGATATCAAGTAACTATTAGCTTTCGGGTCATGCCAAAATTCCTTAGCACTTTACTTAAGGTCCTTCTTAATGTGACCCCTTCCCTCCCAGCCCCATCCCTTGCCACTTGCATTCATTCTTGCATTCTGAGGGATTACTCCGGTGTCCACCTCTCAGCCTGGTGCAGAGTAGGTTCTAAGTAAATGTCAAATAAGCAATGTAATGCATACTGTATGAGGAAAGCCATCTTGCAGCCCAAATGATGCAGGGAAATAGAATAAAATTTGTGGCATTACAGAGAAAATAGAATACATTAACCTTTACTTTTATTTTTTTCTCTTTTAGTTTGAAGCGACTTCTATACAGTTCTACCTACAGTAGGGTTAATGCATGGAAGCTACTTGCATCTTTCACTACACCTCTTGTAACCTCACTGGGGATGCGTATACACACATTGTGTTTGAAACCAGTTGGGAAATAGAGAAGTCAGAGAGATGGAGATCAAAATCATTTTCTCTTACTAGTAATGTTGGGTGAGAGAATGTAGCTTGAACAGGCTTTCTTCTACTTTTCCCTACATCTAGACTTTGGAATGAGCTGCCCTAGTACAGTAAACAGGGTTAGTTAACAAGACAGCTTAGCCTCAAGGAAGCATGGCCCCTCACACCTGAAAGGCCTCTGAATAAGAACAGAGAGATGTTGGTCTCCAGAACTGACTCAGGGCTCTGATCCAGGTGTGCTTCCACTGGGAGGCAGATGCAAAGCAATAAACACACACATACACCCCCCCCCCACCCCCCGAAAAGAGACAGAAAAGCCGAAACTGCTCAGAGAAATCTTTTCTACTTTCTGAGGATGGGTTGGGTGTTGGAGATACAGAATCAAGGGTAGAGGGACTACTTCCTAATGTTTGTGAATGGATGGTAGTTCCCAGTTTATAAAATAGGGTAGAAAATTAAGGAAGAGGAAGTCTCTAAGAGTCATTTTCACTACATTAAACCCAGTTGCATTCCTAAAAGGCCGTTACATGGATCTTCATGTCAATCATTTTGAATTGTGGTTTTTGTGTTTGTTGACTGGGACAGACCCTCAGCTCATTTCTGGCAGAGTGACTACACTGGGTGGGTACTGCACAATGGCTGAATTCTGAAAAAATGAAAGGAAACCAACCCAAAAGTTATGAGGACTGTGTTTACAAATGTATGATAAATGTGTGCATTCAATGCCCTAAAAGAATTTGGCATTAGCCCTAGTGTACACAATTTAGCCCTAGCATACACCAAACATGTTATGTATAAGTATAAATTAAGAACTGTGAACAGATGGGCAGAGACAAAACACAGCAATATAAGTGAAGAGATACAGGGCCAAACAGGCTGTTAGGTCTACGAGAAGCATGAACACAGTTAAACATCAACATATAAAATTAATCATCCATTTCAACTCCTCTTTAAGTGAGGTCCTTAATTCTGGCAGTTTTCAAGAGGAGAGACCAATAAAGACTGAAGTCTGAGACCTGGATGGAGAGTGTATATATATACACACACACACACACACACACACACACACACACACACAGACACACACACACACACGTATATATATAATTATATATATATATATACACACACACACATATATATAATTTTATATATATATATATATATATGGAATCTGGATTAGGCAGGATCCCATAGGGAATAAGACACGGGGTGTTAGAGACAGTTCACAGGGAGAAAAATCGTGTGCTGGCCAGACCTTTTGGTTGCAAGCAAGAGTATCTAACTCACTTGGGGAGGAAAAAAGATAATTTTTATAATTGGTAGAAACTTGCAGAGGTAGTTTTGGAGCATAGGCAAGATTCAAAGAACATCTGGAAGCCAGGCAGCAATAGGTCCTTAGACCAGTACCACACATCTTACTTATCAAGAGTAAGTAAGCACTGCTGCTGGACACCACTGCAGCTGGTGACACTTGGTTTCCACTGCTGTTAGACATTGCTTTGGACTGTCCATCATTGCAGCCACTACGGGGCACTGACATTGGACACCATGGCTGCTGCATGCTACCACAGTCAGTTCCAACTTTGCTTCTTTTTTGGCACCTCTTGCTTCTGATTCTAATCTCCTAGGTGGAATGTGTCCTTGGCTCAATCTAGATTATCTGCATGCACCCTTGCTACCAAGGAAGGGAGAGGAGAGTACCTTTCATTTACTACCAAGAAAATGCACGATGGGAAATTCTTCCCTTGGCCCCTGCCCACAGACCCCAGTTGTCAGAAGAGCTGAATGATGGACAGCTGAAATATATTCACTGTAAAACTAGTAGATACATCAATCATTTGTCTTGAAAAGATTTAGCATTCAAATGCCAAAATTAAATAACACCTGAAAGTATTAAGTGCCACAAAACCAACAAAAATATTTCTTCAAGTCTCAAATAAACTGGTATTTATTTAGTTTTATGATGATATTTTTGAAAATAGAAATTGTTATGTGTCTTCTTATATTGATAAATTATAAACTACCTAGCCCATGCTTCCTCTCTTAGTATTTCTTCTCCCCCTTCTCTATCTATTCACCCTTGCAATTTCAAACATATGTACATTATATAAATAGGTGCTGTTCAGTGAAAATTACTTGGAAAAAATCAGAATGGAGCAATGGAGCAATGATACAGTTGACCTTTTATTGATCATTAGAGTTGGTTTACATATTAAGAGGTAGATTGCCCTAGTTATGTTTGCTAAATGAAATACTTGAGATAATAACAATTGATACTGTTTACTGAGTGTCTACTATCTGTCAGATGCTTTGCATGTGTTATCTTGGTCAATCATCATGGTAACTTGGTTGAAATGGGGTTTATTATCACTCTTTGATGAAAGAGGAAACCAAGGGTCAGAGAACATAAGTGACATTGGTCAAGGTTGTGAAACCAAGCAATGAGATAAACCGCAATCTTAACCCCCTTTCCTTCACAACCCTGACTATGTAACCCAGAAAGTTCTCCCCCTATGCCACGCCTTCTCTGAGTGTTACCATATTTAATAGACCTGAGTCACTGTTAGTCTGATGGGTGTTGGCTTCCCGCACAGGCACGTTCCTTCAAAGATAAAAGCCTTGCTCTCATGAGTTTCTTAGCAGAGAGAATGGGAATCTCATCTCCAAAGTGAAACTGAGGATTGGTTTCAGGAAGTGGGAGTTGGCAGAAAAGGGAAAAGAGGGTCTTGAATTGCACTGGCTAAATAAGACTCTCTGGAAAAGCAATGCCCTGTGCTGATATCTTGGTCAGTGAAATTGCTTTTGGCAAAGATGCCTTCTTCACAGCAGATAGAAACTAATGGTCACCCCAGGATAATACAACACACTTTGCCGTGTTTTGATGATTCCTTCTGCCTGTGTGATGTTTCCCAGGCTTCTTTTTATACAAGTATTGACTTTAGAAGTGAAAAATGAAAATGGTTGTTATACATTTTGTAAATTATGGCCAGTTTGCCTTGGCTTGGGATTTTAAAAAAATACTCAAACTGCATTGCAATTAAACTGGAAGTACAAATAAATTCATGAATTCAATATGCTCTCTCTTTCAAAAACACCAAATATATTTTTAAAACCCTATAGGTCTATAATACTTCATGTACAGTACTAAAATATATTTCCCCAACAGAGAATACACAGTATAGTACAAGTTATTAAGAGGGTAGAAAAAAAAAGAACCAAATGAATTTAAGACCCTTCTCTGACCTTTTCTACCTATAAAGATTTATTTCTTGAATATTCAATAGCATAACCATGCCAGAAATAAATAAATAAGATGGAAGAATTACAAATTATTTTTCCATTCTAATACATCGAGCATGTTAACTGTGTGTTCCTTTTTCATACAGAGACATGGTATTTCTGCTTTTCCCCCTTAACTCTGTGTCATAGACCTTTTCCCAGGAATGCGTAATATTTTAAATTATAATTGTATTTGCGGTCTCAAATTCAGTTGAGGGGATATAGCACAATTTATTTAACTGGTTTATTTGAGGACTTTAAAGTTGTTTCTAGTTTTTCACCAGTATGGAAGGTGACAAATTTAGTTTTGTATTTTGTTTCCTCTACCTCACACTTACACTTTTAGGGAACTTGATCCTTAAAATAAATTTCCTGGAGTTGAGTCACTTGGTCTAATGAAATGAAGTATTTTGCTGTTCTTGGTAGGTATTATAAAACCCCTTTCCAAAAAATTTTTTATCAATTTACACTGCCACCAGCAGTGCTTTCCTAAGCCCTTTTTTCTTCTTTTTTTACTACAAACTTAGCAGCATAGGGTGTTGTATTTCTTTTAAATTGAAGTTCTTAAGGAAAATTTTTAAAAATTAAGTGAAAGTGTGGCTAAAAACTCGCCACTCAGCTATTATGTGAACTCTTACAGACTGACTGTGAAATCCCAGTGATAAAAATTAGAGAAGTCAGGGGCCTTTTCAGTTTGATCTGCCCCTCTGCGGCAGGTGTTGGATTATTACCCGCATGCCAGTGCTTTGGGGATACAAACGAGGGGAATATGTTTGTCAAACATGCCAGTCAGAGTTCCCAGAAGACTTGGCCACAGAATGCAGATGAAGTTAGAATACAAAGGCCTGGCTCCTTGCTTGCGAACCCCTGCAAGTCTTGGGAGCCCATGAAAGCAGGGGCATCTCCTGGGTGTGCTCCAGAGTCTTTCTGGGCTCCAGAACTTTGCTTGGACACCTGGAATTCAAATTCCCACCACTGCTGAGCTGGAATAAACAAATGCATGCCAGGGCTGCCTTCTACGATTTCATTCTCTGAATGTGTTGTTTGTAATGCTGAAATGTATTCTGCTAGAATGACATTGGACATATAAGTTGCCAGGGCATTAGACACCATCTAGTGCAACATCCTTAGTTAAAGAGGAGGAAATTAACCCAGAAAGTGGGAGGTACTAATACCAAATTTTCCTCACTCCCAGCATAGTGTTCGTACACCTTGCCTTCACACGTTATCTGAGCAATAAAATGTCTTTTGTGAAAGCTGATTCAGGACTGTCTTGCTAAATTAATATACTGGTGGGATCTTCTTTGTTCCTGATGATTATTACTGGCATGTCTGGCAATAATTACAACATGTGTACTGAGAAATTGTGGGCATTAATTTCAGAATTTTTGGGGTAGTTTAGGTATAATGATAAGTAACATTTATTTAGTGCTCACCCTGTGCCAGATTCTGTTCCAGATGTTTTGCATGAATTAATTCATTTTCTCCGACAGTTTTCTAAAATATATATTTACATTATTCCTATATTAAAGAAAGGAAATCTGAGAGTGGTTTCTTAAATAGCATATTAAACAGTATAAGCTAAGTTAGGCTATAGTAACAAACAGCCCCAGATCTCACTGACATACAACAGTAAAGCTTTATTTCCCTCTCATGTTATTTGTGCATCATAGGTTAACATCACTTCTTTTCTCTTTCACATTCAAAGAGTTGCTCTTATATGTAACCTAGCTGTCTTTTGGCAGGTGGAATAGTTTGCAGCTAAAACATGCAATGGCTCCTAAAGCTACACATTGAGAAATGACACATTGACACTTATTTCATCTCAATTTCACTGCCCAATGCAAATAACATGGCCAAGTCTGACATTAATGAGGCAAGTAGTAAGATTCTTTGGTAGGGAAAGTCCAGTGAACATACTGAACAAATATAACCTACCAATGTCAATAACTTCTTCAAGGTTCCATATAAAGTAAATTCTGGAGGCAAGATTTCAACGCAGTATGACTTCAGCGCCAACAAAATAAACTTATCTGCTTCACTCTCTTAATGATCAAATGCTGGGAAATATTAGAACCCATGTTGAACCTTAGAATCTATTCATTTGTCCCTGTGAAAAATGCCATTGTGAGGGAAAGCATGCATCTATATATTTTAGGCCAACTATTTCACAGTGTTCACGAATGCCCCCTCTATCAAAGCGTTAGCACGTTCTTGTTTGTATTTCATTTCTGTCAGGGTGAATGAGATCTCTCCAGTCACTTCATATTCTCATGCACAATGATTTCTTCAAAGCCCTCCCACTCTCACACAATTCAGGGCCTCAGAGGACAGCTAGGCCAGCCCCTGCCAATGCTGGTGTGCTCATTCTGGAATCCTACCAGGAGGCCATGGGGTCTATCACGTGCATCTCTAACCCTTCCTGCCCCAGGAAGGCTGTTCCCTTTATGCACAATTGTAACTGTTGGAAGGACTTAGCTTGAATTGAACACCCCCTACAGTTTTCATTCTGGGGCTACATTTAAAGCTAAATGTAATCTGTCACACATATATGTATATTTGTATAAAAATGTATAATAGATACTATATAAATATATAATATACAATATATATAAATATACTTTATATACAACATATGCTTATTTTATATATTTAATATATAGTTGTATAACATGTACTTTGTATACTATATATATAATATATACTTATATATAGTATATTGTATACTTAGTATATGATATGCATCCATTATATATGTATATATTTATATTTATATATTTAATAAATATTTACCAATATTTATCTTTATTATGATATTATATATTATACATTATATATAATAAATTAAAAAATTATATATAAATATATACAATTATGCCCCACAGGTATTTTTTTCTCTAGCTGCAAAAGACAACTTCTGCCTAATATGTTATAATTTTGTGTCTCAAAGCATCCCAGTTGTGATTTTTGAAGATTTTCTGGACAATCTCTAACAAAAATGGACTTTGTATAATGCTCTTCACTCCTCCCCTTTTATTTATCCTAGTGGAGTTATAACTTCCATAATAGTAACACATTTCATACCTAACAAGATGCCATGGTTTTTCTGTGATGAATTAAATTTATTTAGGAATTTCCATCAATACAAACACAGTTTGATATGAATGCTGAAAGGCGAGGTAAGAATATCTCCAATTCTTTAATACATGCCACAGCAATTATTACAGGATAAAGAATACCTTACTCTTGATAAGTAAGATTTTTTGCTTTTGTGCTCATTATGTACTTTAAACAACTGGTTGTTTATATATAGTTTATTTCTCTTTAGTAAGTGTTTGACAAATTCTGTTTATGAGTTAGCTTTTAATTTTGGGAAACTTTTTGAGAAGTAGATAAAATCAAACCACTTTCAGAGATTGTTTGAGATATTTTATAGATTTTAAAGTAATATTTTTTATGCTTTATGGGAGCTCTGTGAGGGAAGGACTATATTTTTGTTATTCGTCCCTGACCTGTCTGGTTGGTATAACATGTGTTACCCAATAGGTATCCACTGAATATTTGCGGAATTAAAAAAATAAAAGCAATGGAGACCATAGGATGGTGACCATATATGATGTTTTGTTTTTGCCCATAGTAGTTGGTCCTGTTCAATAAATAAACTAATAGCACAAATTAGTGTAATTAATCTAAAGGCAATGACAACAAGATGGAATAAAAGAGATCTATTTAAGAGGTAAAGACTAATAACATTTCGTAAATTTACTGAAGGTGTGAAGATTAGGGGAAAAGAGGAATCTAAAATGACTTAGGAGTTTCTGGGTTTAGTGACTGTCAGGTTTCTGGGTTTAGTGACTGTTCAGTGACTTACAAGTGGGTGGTTCACAGCCCACAGGACAAATCCAGTCTACTCTTTGTTTTCGTAAATTAAGTTTTATTGGGACACGACCATGCACATTCATTTACATGTTGTCTATTGCTGCTTTCACAATATAATGGCAGAGACAGGTAGTTGTGACAAAGACCATATAGTCCACAAAGACAAAAAAATTGGCTATCTCTCTCTTTACAGAAAAATGTTGGCTGAATCTTACTCTGCTAAATACAGTTTCTGACTTACTATGGTTCCACTTATGTTTTTTTTGACTTTAGGATAGTGCAAAAGTGATACACATTCAGTACACTCTTCAACTTATGATGGGGTTACATCACGATAAACCCATCCTCATAACCCCATTGTAAGTTAAGGAGCGCACGAAGGTTTTTGGTGGGGAGGTGGAGATATCGGGGGAAAATAGTTTCTATTTATTAATATGCTGAGTTTGTGGTGCCTGAAGAACATGCCAGTGAAGATGTTCAGCCAAAAGTTCAAGATATAAGCCTGGGACTCAGCGTGGAATTATGGCTGGACATATAGATTTAGTAGGCTGTGGTCAAGTTGTGGCTTTGTCTGCAGTGATGAAACAACATATGGTGGCTAAGCATCTGAAAATGAAGATACCACTGGGGATGTACACTTCTCACTGAAGTCCAGCTTAGGAGGTGAGTCAGAGGTGTTTAATTACATGTTGTGAAGGCACATGAGGAAAAGGATGGAGGTGTGTAGTGGTATATTCACTCCTTCTTCCAGAACATGGGGCAGAGTGCCAACTGAGCATGAGGCCCAGGCAGAATCCTCCTGCTATCACCACATGTTTGCCTCGGCGTTATCACCACGTTTGCCTCGGCGTGACTGACACTGCTGCAGATCCTCTCAGTAGGCCCCAAGGCAGCCGTTGCCAAACTAAAATCAGAAGCGTCCCTTCCAGCTTTGCTCTGCCGTTTTGCCAGCCCAACCGCAGAACATCTCATCTAGGTTGATTAAGGGGGGGGAAAAACTACTAAACGTTGGTTACAGTTCTAAAATAATGCCAGTCCTGGAGATGCAAAGCTTTTCTCTAACCATCAGGGTTAAGCCTAACGAGGCAGTTCATGTACTTTCCCAGCTGGTAAGTGAATATTTCTGCACTGCACGTGGTACAGAGGGCTCAGCCCAGTGCAAGGACAGTTTGTCCCAACATTCCCGTGCATCCTCTTACTTCCGGAGTGACTCATTTACATTTCCTCTTTTGCCAAGTAGAGGAAATAGCAATCTCTTTTTCTCATTATTGGTGAATGTTGTAGGGACAAATATTTATAATGATGTGGAGATGTGTGTAACCACGTGGATAGTGAGCCCCTGGAGAGAGAACCCTGCAGCTTTTAAAATGCTGACCGATGGGAGTGGACACTCGGGGCATTGAGTGGGTCCTCGAAGAATAATTTACTTTGTATGTGGTTGTGAGACTTTCTAAGGTAATAACCCATACAATAGACCTTGACTGTACTAAGGAAGCAAAATTATTGGCAATTCTGCTAAGATTTTCTCCCCGACTCCACTTTTTTTTCATAAGCCACTGGAGAGAACGAACAGAGTTAATTTGATTTTTGGCGGGGATGAGAAAAATGACTATTTACCTATTAGAATTCTATCAATAGATATGGGAAACCCTATTTATATCTATGAACCTATGCCAATACATATTCTTGTATATATTTCTGGAAATATAGTTTCAGAGAATACTTGTTTGACTTTCTCCAGTTCGAGGAGAGCTCATTATGCTAAATACTGCAAAGTACAGTGAGAATGAGTAGAGCCAAAGGGGACAAACGCTTAAAACTAGGATCAGATATTTCTTCAGATCACATGAAAATTTTTTTTACCCCATTAAGAAATTCTTGGATGATATTTTTAATGTTGAATGTTCATACCACCTTTTTGAACATCATGCATATGCCAGTGTGTGCCAGTGTATATGTGAATGTCAGAATGGGCATCAGAATGTGTATGCATGTCTGTGCATCCGTGCATGGCTGAAATGAACTTGTGGGTCTGTGTGCATGTGTGTATGTGTGTGGATGTGTGTGCGTGTATTTTTCTTGTGGATGTTCTAGTCTAATGAAAGGAGCTCTTAGATCCCACAAAAGCCACATGCCTAATAGGTTGGATCTTCGTTAAGCTTTCCAGCGTGTGCATTTGCAGAATTAAAGGGTGCAGGCACTAGGATAACCACAGAACCCTACACGAACTATTCTGGGTCTCCCCAAGGACCTTTAATTTACTATTGTATTTAAAGACAATACATGCCTTGCATAGTTACAGCTGCGAGTTCTTGTCTGCTCAGTAGCCTTGGAAGACAGATCATCACCTAGTTGGGACCAACTCAAAGGTTAAACTGGCATCCACCAAACCTTAGTTGAATAACACATTTTGCTAGAGAGTTTTTGTTTGTGTGTTTGTATTCCTCCTGGCTCACTCTTGGCCCAGACTCAAGATAAACTTTGCTGCTTTTCTGCCTGCTGTGCTTAATTTTCTGTGGTACCTAAAATGCTGGATTTGTAGCCTTTTTCGTTTGGCTGCGGTTTGGCTTCGCCTGTCCAATTCAAGTTTCCTCTGTGTGCAGGACTCAGAAATGTTTCACTTGAGAGTTTAAGTTTCATGATTTTAATTATTCACATCATCTAAACTTGGCTTTGAAATCAACCATATCAGGCATGACAATTCACCCAAGAGTCTGAAATGAAATAAAGAAAGCAGAGACGAGGAGACATCTGGTGCCAAGCCACCCCAGTGAGGTGCCCTATGTTTATGAAGGGGGCTGGGGAGGAGGAGGAGACTTGGGAAGGGAAGAAAAGTAACTTTTTAAAACACCTGCAATAAGATAAACACTGGATTTTAGATGCATTCTGCACTTTGCCTTCCCAATAATCCTTTTGGAGGTAGGGATTTTTTCCAAGTTATTTTTGTGTTCCTGCTTGCATTTTCACACATTTGTGCTCTAGTGTGGATGCTACAGCTGCAGAGAGTTAATAAAAATAGTTTCTTTAACACTCTGGATTACTTAGAAGATTTGCTCTATTATCCAGAAGTTCTCATCTCTCTGGGTGCTTTCTGTGTCCCTCTGGCAAATGCCACCCTGGTTTTATGAACTAAAGTTAAAGACTGCCAGCTCGTTTAGGGGGCCACCAGTAGTTTATTGTTCAACTGTTTCCTGCCCACGATGTGTGGGTTCTTTCCATAATGAACCATCAGTCTAATACTAAAGCATCTATAGCATCAGTCACAGAAAGCTTCTTTAAACACTTTTATCCAAAACTGTGATATTTAAAAGTGAAGAAATTCCTCCAGTCCCTTAATGACTGAGACTTTTTCATTTTTATCTGTCTCAAGCATTCTTTGGAACGCTCATTTAATAAACCCATATACCATGTAGGTACCAAGAATAGAGTCTTTTGTAAAGGAGGGTGTAGATGCATGTAAAAATTATCTGTCTTATTAAAAAGATAATATGTATGAAAATATTGGAAAGAAAACACAATAGAAAATAAAACCCACGCATCATCTACCAACCCAAAATATCTCTACTTACATTTTGCTGTGTTTCATTTTCTTTTCTTTTATTTTTCTTTTCTCCTTTTCTTTCTCCCATTTAAAAAAAATGTAATATAACTCGTTTCTTGGATTGGACGAGAGCAACTCTTGGGATACAATCACAAAGCAAATTTATTTCATCTCTTCCACTGTCTCTTTAAAATTAATGAGAAGAGACAGTTCTTCCCCTGTCCTTAAAACACTGGGCATCCCATTACTTTTCTGATCATTCCTAGGAGTTCCGAGATCCCATGGTCCTTTTTACAAAATATGCAACTGAAATTCAGAAATTACAATTCCAAGCCCCTTATGATCATTGAAACTTTGATTTTGATGTAAAATGGTCTTTTCTACTTCCTCAGCTAGGCTGACAGCCACAAGAAAAGCTGAAGGCCAATGGAGTGTGGTTAGCTTCCACTCTCAGTTTTTGCCCTTCTCTCCCAATTTTTGTCAATTTCTCACCCCTCTAGGATTGGAGTCAGGGGAGGAGCTAGAAGTCTCATATGTGACCAGCCCTGTCAGAGGTGGGCTTCCTACTCTCTGGATCAGGCAGGTGTATAAAGCCCATGCTCTCACTGGCCCTTTATGTGTTCCTCAGGACACTCTTGCCCCATACCATGCCTCCCCAGGAGCTTTGATCTGCAGGTGTCTTGATGCCAGTCATGTTCTCTCTCTTTTTCCAGCCCTTGTTTTTTTCTTTACTCAGCCCGCCGTAAACCAACTCTACCTTCAGCTTCTCTCTAGTGGGGCCTCTCGCGTGCACAATGTAGGAATCTCTCTCCAGGAGTACTGCTGGACAGGACTGAAGCCCCAGACTGGTTCTCCCTCACTCTTGATCTTTGGCCCATGGGAAACACACATTTTTGATTCCTGCAGGAGTATTGCCATCCAACACACCCATCTCTTCTTGACTCCCACCCCTAGAACAGCTGGCCAAGCTGGCCCTCTCCATTGAGATTTTCCACTCTGTGACTCCCAAATGCAAGGAACATATATCCGATTTTCAGGTGGCCCTGTTGAAACTCTTCTCAATGGGTTTGAGATCAGTTTCAAGCATCATCCTCTTAAATACAGAGAGACACACACACACACACTCTTAAACGGCCGTGTGAAAGGCACTCACGCCACAGCAACAGGTCTCTCCAAAGAAATTTCCTCCCAATTTCTCTTTCTTAATTTCCAAAACTGGATCTTTTCATACTCTAGAGGTGGGCAAGGAATTAGAGTCATGTAATTTTTTGGTAACCATTTCCTTTAGAAATGTGCATTTTGATCCTTTACCTCACTTTGGAATATTTTATCTGTTGAATCTTGGTGATGGCTGAAACATGATTTAACATCTACATCAGCTAGCATAATCCTTCTATTCCAATAGCATTTCTCTTGATAATGATCCCACATCCATTGTTTATTTTTAAAACTATGATTTTTAGTGATGCTTCAGTAGCCCATTGCATTGGTTTCCTATTGCCACAGTTACAAATTACCACAAATGTTGTAGCTTAAAACAACACAAATGTATTATCTTACAGTTCTGAGGGACAGAGTCCTTGGTCAGCTTCAGTGAGCTAAAATCAAGGTGTTGATAGGGCTGTGCTGCTTCTGAAAAATTTGGGGGCGTGTCCATTTCTTTACCTTTTCCAGCTTCCCACACTCCTTGGCTTGTGGCCCCACATCTCTCCAACCTCTGTTTTTGTCATCACCTCCTCTCCCTCTGCTCTGACTCTGTCCTCTTGTCTCCTCTTATAAAGACCTTTGTGGCTGGGCGCAGTGGCTCATGCCTGTAATCCCAGCACTTTGGGATCCCAAGGTGGGTGGATCACTTGAGGTCAGGAGTTTAATACCAGCCTGGCCAACATGGTGAAACCCTGTCTCTACTAAAATTATAAAACTTAGCCAGGCATGGTGGCATGTGCCTGTAGTCCCAGCTACTTAGGAGGTTGAGGCAGGAGAATTGCTTGAACCTGGGAGGCGGAGGTTGCAGTGAGCCGAGATCATGCCACTACACACCAGCCTGGGAGACAGAGTGAGACTCTGTCTCCAAAAAAAAAAAAAAAAAAAAAAGACCTTTGTGATGACAGTGGTCCCACCGAGGTAACACAGGATAATCTCCTCTTCTCTAACTTAATCGTATCTGCGAAGACCCCTTTGCTATGGAAAGTAACATATTTCTGGGTTCTGAGGATTCAGATCTGGATGCCTTTGGGGGATGAGGGGGATTATTCAGCCCACCACACCCATATTCTGGATACTTTACATTTTCACTAATTTTACTTTCAATTCTTTAAGTAAATTTATAAATAGGCCTTCAGTGAATTTCCTTGTGAATACATTTGAATGAGTTTCTCTGATGGTTTCCTCAGTGTACATTCCTAGAAGCAGAGTTATTCAGTAAGAACATTTTTAAGGACTTTTGATGTATATTGCCAAATTCTTTTCCAGAAAGGTGTGTGCATTTTTGACTCTGCAGCTATGTGGAATTCACCTTTACTAGTATTTTTTTTTTAAATAATTTCAACTTTTATTTTAGATTCAAAGGGTACACATGCAGGTTTGCTACATGAGTACATTGCATCATGCTAAGTTTGGGCTATGATTGATCCTACCAGCCATATAGTGAGCACAGTACCCAATAGGTAGATTTTCAAATTCTGCCCCCTTGCCTCTCTCTCCCTCTACTAGTCCCCAGTGTCTATTGTTACTACCTTTATGTCCATGAGGACCCAGTGTTTAGCTCCCACGTATACAAGAGAACACACGGTATTTGGTTTCTTGTTCCTGTGTTAATTCACTTAGAATAATGGCCTCCAGCTGCACCTATGTTGCTGCTAAGGGCATGATTTCATTCTTTTTTATGGCTGCATAATATTCCATCATGTATATGTACCGCATTTTCTGTGTCCAGTACCCTGTTGATGGGCACCTAAGTTGATTCCACGTCTTTGCTAATGCTTCACCAACATTGATTGGTCTTGTTGTTATTTCTCATTTTTGGGGTTAATTTGATAGTTAAAAATGGTGTCTCTTAATGTTGAATACTGGCAGACTAAACACTAATCAAATGTTTGTTAACCAAATACTTTTCTTCCTCTTTGACATAGGTACTCATCACTTTTGGCCACTTTTATATAGGGTCATGTTTAGAAGTAAGACCTTTATAGACAGATGTATCTGGTTTTGATTTTTTCTTTCTTTTTTGGCCCAGTGGTGTGACCTTCTGCAAATAACCATTGCCTGTCTTAGCATTCTCATTTTGTGTGCATAAATAACCCAATGCCGTCGTGTGAAACTTATATGAAATGATAAATACAGAGCATCCAGGTGAATGTTTCCGCTTGGTGAGAACGGGCTAAGGCATAGCTACTAGTATGATTATGCTAATGGGTATTGGAAATTGTTTAAAAATGATTTCTGAGATGTATTTATATATATGCAGACACACACATACATCTATATATATATAAAAGTATTACACTCTTGTTTTTATTCATTGAAAATGCTTTTCTAATTTCACATTTTTCTTCTTTTGTATTTTTTTTGCAGTGTCTTTTTTTGTGACTTGTGTTATTTCTGATTTTTTGCATTTATTTTATATTTAGAAATTATTTCTGTATACAACAAACCCCTGTGACACAGGTTTACCTGTGTAACAAACCTGCACATACACCCCTGAACCTAAAATAAAAGTTTGAAGAAGTTATTTCCTGCTTTCAAGATAATTTAAATATTTACTGTAATTTTCATATTTTAATAATTGTTTTCTTTGTTTTCACATAAATCTGTAAGGCATATGGAATTTGAATTGGTAGATATGTGATATTAGGATTAAGTAAATGTTTATTTCTTTCCATATTTTTAGCCACTTTTGCTAGTATTATATGGTGAATATTATACCTTTGAATTTTGCATTGAATATTGCTACTTCCATTATTATCATATATTAAGTTCCAGATCATTGTATGATCATTCTAGAACTTTCTGTCTTGTTCCACTGGTAGATCTATCCAGTCTTGTGATAGTATAATCCTGTTTTAATGATTGCAATATTATATATCTTTCGATGGACAAACTCTCTCGTTTCTTTCTCTTGTTTTATATGTGTTCTTAGCTATTTTACTCATCTGTTCAGTCTTTTCTGAATAACTCTACAACGATGTTTTTAATGTAAAAACCTTATTACTATCATGATAAATTTATGTATTAATTTGGGAAGATCTGGCATCCTTGTTCATGCATCTCATCTGGAAACTTAAAACCTTTCTTGATTTTGTAAAATTTTCTTTTGAGTCTCTGTAAAACTCTGTGGTTTCATTTAAATAGATCACACAATTTTGTTAAAGTACTTAGGTGTATATATTAATACAAGTATAATCGATCTTTTTCCATTGTGTCTTTTAAATGGAGATTGCTGTTATGTAGAAAAGTCATCGATTTGATTTTAAATTTTATTTGGCTAATTTACTGAGCTCTCTTAGTAGTTCTATGAGTTTTTACAGCTATTTTTTCTTAGTTTTACACTATACAATCAATTATCAAATAAAGCAGGATTCTTGCTTTAGTTTTCTAAGTTTTGCTCTATTTTATTGGCTGAAGTGTAAAAAAAAAAAATGTTAATGCCACTGGTGGGCATTCTTGTCCTTTTTCCTACGGTGCTTCTGGTATTTCAACATGAGGTAGGACAAAATAGGTTTTATCCTGATGGAAGTACTCAAAGATCATTCTGATTACCTCCATTGAATATCTTTATTAGAGTTATTAGAGAAAAAATGGATATCAGTAGCCCAGAGATATGAGACACTTATGTGTAAGTGACACTTATGTGTCTCTTAAATGACACTTGAGTGGCATTTTAGCACAATGAAAAGAACAGAGGTTCTGGGGTCAGGGACACTAGGGATCTAATGCTTGTTCCAGTACTTGCCGGTATTGGAACATACACACCTACAATTTTTATTTCTTTCTGTTTAATATATAGGTAATAATATTTCTTTCTAAGGCTGTACTGGAGATTCAATAAGCTATGGGAAAAATACCTAAGACATTACCTGATAGATAATAGGTACCGATTATGAAAGACATCCTACATGCATTAACTTTCTTTTGCAAAATGTGGATTGGAAACAGGCAAAATGAATTTCAGTAAGAAAGGATAGACCTTGATGATGACCTCTATAAGCTTCAATTTCTGTCTCTATTTACATGCAAACTGGAGGATTAAAGTCTCCCCTAATAGGGAAAATTCTGTAAATTCTATGACTCTAATTACAGCCACAAAAGCACCCATTTCTCAGATTCTGTTGCAAAGTGGGTTTCAGAGCAGCCCTGGCCCCAGAGAGAGGAAAAGGAAAAGCCACAGGAAACCTGGGCAACAGTTGCAGTTTCCTCCTTGGCCCCTTCTCTGAGAGCAGTGCTGCGTGTTGTTGCAGTTGTACTGTACTGTTCTACCGCGTGGATTCATAGTTAACATTTTTCTTCCAGGCACATTTAAAACGTTTGGCTCACATCCTCCTTGAGCTGTTTTATAAGGGCAATAACCAAGGCCAGGGTGTGCTCTTGTCAGCAGGCAAAGCACGCAGTGGAGGCTGCCAAAGAGTTTCCTGCTCGGGGGCCACCCATCCTTGGCCACAGGATGCATGGCTGGAGTTCATGGCAACTTGCACAGAGCGAGTGCTGGGACTTTCTGTTCTCAGGGTTCATGCTTTGGATTCCATCCTTCAGCCCTGCTGCATTGATCAGTGGAGGCTATTGTGTTTGTGCTTGTTTGGGACTAGCTCAGAACACATGTCACAGCAGCAGTCCAAGGCCTAGCTCTAAGGCTTGGGGCTGGGAAAATGCTCTTGAAAGACTAGCAAGCTGCCCTTCCCTCCTGTTAATGCAGGCTCGGAGTTCCCATGAATCAGCTGCAGGGAGGCAGGCATTCCCTCATGCTATTCTCTGTGAATTAACTTCTGGAATGAGCAGACAGCACAGACGCCAAGTGGTGGGTTTGAGCACTGTTACCCCACCCGCTTTGAAGTCCACCTTCGCATGAGCGGATCTCTTTTCATGTATTATTTATTGCCAGGGACTTTGATAGGAAGAATCCCCAGAAGATTGCTGAAGGTTTTTTTTTTTCTTCAGAATTCCCTTTGATTAGAAGCTGTTGGCTGTGCCTTGGGCAGCTGGCTCTGTCACAAAGCAGGGGCTCAGTGCATCCTCCCAGTGATAGCTGCCATGCCAGCACCAGTGAGGTTCTGGCTGTGACATGCCTGGGACACCCTAAAGAACTACACAAGTAGAAAGGGTATCATACTCCTTCACTCACCAGAAGGGAGGCAATGAGGTCTCATGAGAGGAAAGAACAGGGGCTCAAGCCAGAGAGATGCAAGTTGAAATGTCATCTCTTCTACTGACCCACAGTATGATGTTGACCTCAGTGTTCTTATCCACTAAATGGCAATAAAAATCTTGGATTCACCACCAAACTGTTGCAGAGAATCAATAAGCCATCCAGAGGTTTTCATTTCTTTCCTCTAAATTCCAAAGCTAGTCTGGAAACTTTAAAGCAGGCTGAATGACAACTCTACACTCTCTTAATCTTCTTTATTTATTTTCTAAATTTTTATTTGTTTATCTTTTTAGAGACAGGGCCTTGCTATGTTACCCAAGCTGGAGTGCAGTGGCTATTAATAGGCTCCATCGGAGCTCATTGTAGCCTCCTGCTCCTGACTACAAGCTATCCTCTTGTCTCAGCCTTCTGAGTAGCTGGAAGTATAGATGAGTGCCACCATACCTGGCTTTTCTTCATTTTTCAATCATTCATTCAGTCAGTCAGCATTCAAGAAATAATACTAAATTAAGTAAATAAACGATTAATTAAATAAAAACATTTCAGTGGCTTTAACATTTTATGTAATGTATTAGATGCTAAGAATAAAGAAATATGTGCTCAAGACACGGTCCCTTCCCTTGTCTATCTCAAAGATCAAAAGGTTAAATGACAATAAAATGTAAAGGATGTTACGGTGCGGAAGGTTCAAGAAGAAAGAAATGCACCCAGACAAGATATTTGTACCAGTTTATGGAATGACAGAAGGCCTTCCAGAAAAAAGGAACATGTAAGCAAGTAGATTATGTCAGTCTATAGAGGATAGCATAAAATATTACAAGAATTTAGAAATAGAGACCCTTTGAGAGTGACTGGAAGTGGCCTGCCCTTACAGGTGGATAGTCCATGCTCTGCCATATAAATGAATGGAAATGTCACGTCTTGCCAAAGTATTCAGGTTCAGGTTGTGATAGTCTGTCATTAAATTCAGCCAGGTCCCACTCAACAGGACTGCCTTTATCACTTTGAAGCAAAGATAGGCTCAACCAATCATGGGCTGCCTGAAAGCCAGGAAAAGAGATAGTTGATGTAAACCCAACCAGGAAAGAGATCGGACGGACTGTGAGGCAGAATGTAGCTCATCAACCTCATTTCTTGTTCTTGGACACATAAAGGCAGCTCATTTAATAGCCTCTTCAGAGCCATGCGCCTGGGTGCTGGCCAATTGAATGTCGACAGAGTGTTGTATGACATTTCTAGCCTTGACCATGAAAGGTTTAATATAATCTTCCATGCACCGTGTCCCCCACCTGCATGGCAGATTCACACACCTGGATACCTGACTTATTGCCTGGAGGAGAGCTACCCAGTTGCATCGCCCAGCCTACACTGAACCATTATGTGAGCAAGAAATATTGACCATTATGTGAGCAAGACCTGTGAGCAGGTCTATTGTGTTAACCTGCTGAGGTTATAGAGGTGGTTTACATAGCAGCTAGCGTTACTTAACTTGGCTAATGTGTGTATCTAAACCATCTAGAACCATGACCGACTCATAGTTGACATCTAAGGTCATTAAATTGAATACATGGTAAGAGGTCATCAGTATTTGTTGTACTCTACCAAAGGCCTTGTTTGGGTGAGTGAAGGGCACAGTACCTGGTGAGCTTGAGGATTCTGGTAATCAGTTCACCGGGTCTAACTCTGGGTCAGGAAGGGTCCATATAGCTGAGAGCTACTGGAGCTATTCTGCATGCTGACCAGGTTTCTGGAAGCACATCCAACTCTCCTAACTGGAAAGAGGTATCTGGAATAGCAAAACCAATTATTTTTGCTCTTAGAAGGGTCTCTATCCCATTATAAATTTTATATTGGTAACCAATCTGCATATTCTTGTTTTATGAGTTTGGCTATTGCAGTTGATCCATCAAAGTTTGGTCACTTCGAGGTATGCTGGTGAGATTGACTTCCTGGAATTTTAAAGTTGAGGAACTGATCCTGTTAACTTCATCAAAAGAATATGCAACTGGCTAGCCGGGATTGAGTGATAAGCTGGTCTCACTTTTAGAAAATCCTTTGCTAATTACATATGAAATGATGATGATGATGATGATGATGATGATGATGATGATTGCTATCATTCATTCAGTGCTTATCAATTTCAGCTACTCTCTGTTAATCATTTTACATCATCTCATTTGATTTTTCACAATAACTCTTAGAAGTACAGTCATGTGTCCCATTATGACATTTCAGTCAATGATGGTTTGCATATGTAATGGTGGTCTTATTAACTTATAATATTGCATTTTACTGTATCTTTTCTATGCTTACATACACAAATACTTCCCATTGTGTTACAATTGCCTACTGAATTCAGTATAGTAACATGCAGTACAGGTTTGAAGCCTAGGAGCAATAGGCTATGCCATATAGCCTAGGGGTGTAGTAGGCTATACCATCTAGGTTTGTGTAAGCACACTCTATGATGTTTTCCCAATGACAAAATCACTTAAAAACATTTCTCAGGACATATCCCTGTCATTGAGTGATACATGACTGTAGTTGTCATTGCCCCTATTTTCAGATGAGGGAACTGAGGATCAGAAAAATGTGGTGACTTGCTTTAGAATACATTTCCTATAAATGTCAGAGCTAAAATTAAAACTCAACTCTCCTGGACTGCAAAGTCCAAGTTCCCTTAATCCGATCAATCATTTTCAAACTGCTCTCTGCTGAGCTGTAAGTGGCCTAAGAAGCCAATCCAGGATTGGGAGTGGAGCATGAAAGAATAGATTTCTGCCTCCTTACCCTACTTTTTACCAGAACAGAGCCTCTTCTCCTTGACTTTTTTGTTACTGATTCCACCTAACTTTTGTTTGAGCAAGGGGTTCTAGGCTAAATAAAGACTTTGAAAATCACTGCAGCATACCATAATACGTAGGAGGAAATTTTGTAGAAAATGAGTTTTATTTCTGAACACAAGGAGTGCGTTGTGATTTATGGATTCTCCTCTTCTTTTGTATCTTCTTCCACATTATCTGAAGATACTTATTCTCCCAGGAGTCTAAGCTTCTTGAGAGCAGGGACTCTGGCTAGTCATAATTTCCCCCCGCTCACCGCCAATACTAAGTAGAATACTAGGCAGACAATTGCTACCCTAGTTCACTCTCAACACTGCCTCCTAAACGATTATTTTAAAGCACGACTCTGATTATGCTACTTACCCAATGTTACTTAATATTTTTCAGGGACCATTGTTACTCCCAGAATAGACCAAAATTTCTCACCAAGGTATCCAAGTCCATTCTGACAGCATCCCAGCATCCCAGACACTTGGTTGGCTTCATTTCTTCTATACATCACATTCCAGTAATATCAAATTTCTTGCTGCACTCTGGACCTGGCATACCTTTTTGTAGCCATCTCTTTTGTGCACATGGTTGCTCTCTGCCTCAAATTCCTCCACCCCTCCCCGTGGAAATCTCTTTCTATTCATGTCACATCCCAGTAACCTCTTATGTCCTCCTCCAGGCCAATTCAAACACTCCCCTCCACATGATTGATTCCTTCTCGTTGCACTTACCTACAACTTAGCAGTTCTTGGCAGACAGAGTGGATTTGAAGGACAAGGTGGTCCCCATCCAAGAGAGAGGAAAGCAGAAGGATGGTAACAATAATGCATGCTACATGGCATTGAATGAACTACCTAATGGATTTGTTAATGTGTACAATAATTTTTTGAGATGCCCATAAATACTGAGTGTTGGGAGTGGAGGTGTTTCTCATTGTGTGTGGCAACATATAGTACCTAATAGGAATAAGAACCATTGAAATACCAGCTAAGAATGAATGATTATTTGGTGCATTAAATTAAATTCCTCAGTTGGTTTAGCTCAGTGGGAATGAAAAGTTGGATATTTACTCAGCCCCTTCCTCTGTCTGCCTGTAGTCCTGGGTCATCAGCATGTGAAGTTAATGACTGGCAAGATCTTCTAACCCTCTTCTACCTCTCCTAGAGAGATCAAAATAAACAACAACAACAAAAAGCCAACACTAGTTGGCTCCCAAACAACGTGGGAACCTACAAAACAAGACTGGGCATTGGACATATTTTGCATGCCCTCTTTCTTTGCAGGGATTCAAGCCAGTGTGGGACTCAGTGATCTTTCATGATGATAAATTGGGCATTTTCAGTGCAGGGTATCTGTTCAGCAATCTTCCTGCAATGCATAGCTGGGTATATTGTCTCATGCTGGGTAGTCCAGAGATACGTTTAAGTAAAAGGTCACTCTAGAGTTTAAATTCAATACAGGTCTAGAGAATGCAGCTCCAGTGAAATTTATTTTCAGGCAGTGGAGAGCTACTTAAGTGGCAAGAGACTGAGTTTCCTCTTGTGATTGTTTTAATGTAAAATGAGATGCTGATTACCAATGCTAACAACTGCACACTGAGAGTGGGAATAGAGCGGAGCATTGTGTTTGATGTTTGTTTGATTTGCATATGTGGCATACCAGGCCCTGCACATAACGGTCCTAATCTGCCTGAACAGGGTCGTCTTTCCTCACTCCTTCTGATTTAGTCTATGCTCTAGCACTTGGCATTGTTCAATGCAGTATGCCTTCCCTTTTACACATATGGGCTTGTGTATCTTGCTCCATTTGTCTGGAATAGTCAATCCTTTTTCTTCATGGCAAACTCCTACTCATCCTTCAAAATGCGGGTCACCTCATAAGCCATTGTCTGGGTACAACAGTCATTCTGCTTTTTCTGTGGTCTCCCATAACACTTTGAGGTCTGAAATCTTAGGCAATAACTGTATATTTTCTCAGCCAGTACCAGAGTGCCCAGCTCATAGTAAATGCACTATAAGTGTTGATTGAATTGACTTGCATTTTATCTATACAAGGGAGATGCCAAGCTATCTGTAACTCATGTGTAAATATCAGGATAAGAAATGTTGAAAAATGGTAATCATGCCAAACTCACTGAATAGATGATATCTAAGGCAATAGACTCCTAGAATATCTTTCAGTTCAGCAAACACAAGCACCCACCCTTGTGTCTGGTGATAAGGACATAACCGTAGGTAAGTCACTCTTTCTCATCTCAAGGAGTTTCTAATCTAGAAAATAAAATAGTTACATCAACAGAAAATTAGAGTAGAGTGTGCACACAATTTTATGGGGCAGAGATTTCCTAGGTGGTCTCCAAGCCAGTTTCTTCTTCTTGGATACACAAGACTACATTTTTAAGCCTCCTTTGCTGCAGTGTTGTGAATATGTATTTATAAACTCTGGCTAAAGGAACATTGGGAAAAGTGATGTACACCATTTCCAGGCTTGGTGCCCAAATTCTCCCATGAGATTCTTGACTTGCTATTTCTTCTCTAGCTGGTTATCAGACTTAAAAAATCCAGTGGAAGACTCTAAAGCCCTAAGAAATGACAGAGCCACAAATAGAAGGAAACTTGATCCCTGTATCACTATGTGGAATGCTATCTACCAAAAACCCTACTGGGCTCTGACACGAGCAATACAAAAAATCACTGTCATTTTAGTTCTTTTTTTAAGTACCTAATATATCATTTATTTATTCAAAAACTATGTACTGAAAACTTATGAAGGGTGAGGCATTGGTGGTGGGAGTGAGGAAGGAATATCAAACACAGTCTGTGATGAATAAGGAATACCTCCTTTCCTTATGATACCATTTGAAGTTTAATCACAAAGGAGTTTATCACAGGGACAAGGTGTGGAAGGAGTGTGCCAGGAAGAAGAGCAGAGATGAATGATGGCCAAAAGATCTAAGTAGATAATAGATAATAGATAATAGACTTGGGGTCTGTTGGTTCTCCTGTCTTACTCCCAGGCCTTATGGATTTCCATAGTAGGTCTCCTGAAAAATATTCTGAGGGGATAAAGATGTTTTAATATTAATCTTTCTTTGCAGTAAATGATCCCTTTGAGGGACCCTGCTAGAACCAGGACAATACCAGACTCTCCACTTCAATAACATCCTTTATTAGGGAAGGCTCTCAGGAATCCAGAAGGGCTCAGAATGACCAAACTAGATGAACAGGTGAAATTGTCAAAGCCACATTTTACAGATGGTGACACAAACTCAAAGAGAGAAAATGAGGTAACCAAATTCTCACAGAGGTTAGTTTCTTGAACTAGAGCCCAGATTCTCAGACTCCTAGCCCAGTGGTCTTTGCACTAAGTTTATTTGTGAAAAGGGATCTTTTGTCTACTTCAAGGTTGAGAAGAGCATTAAGGCTAATTTAACTTTAATTAGAAAAGGAAAGTAATGTTTGTTAAATTCCTGCTATACACCAGGCATGGGACTAAACACTCCATGCATTCTCATTGATCTTCATAGTAGTGGAGTAGGTACCATTTATTCAGTTACAAATGAGGTGCTGGAGACTCTGGGATACTACGTGCAGCTTTCTACCTTCAAGGTCTCTTAGGATCATCTCTTCATCCTTATGTTGGGCAAAGCAATGTTCTGTAATCAGCTTTTGCTTGGAGTCAGTGTCTCGTAGTTTTCCCCTAGTGATATATCAGAGGATGATAGAAACCTCACCATTTCACTGCCACTCTACTTTGTGGCATCCCATGACACAAGCCCTGGCTCTCCATGTGTTTATAAATTGTGCCTGGTGTCAGGCATAGTAATAGCCTGACATTTAATAGCCTTTAATCCTCGGAAAATTGTGTCCTGAAATTTTATTGGAGAAAATACAATTAAATCTCTTACTGGGTAGATATTCATTCTGACATACAATTTCTCTAAATTTAAATTGCAAATAGAGTATTCATATATATTAATGATTTGAAACGGAATCAAATAACTTGTTCAAAAAGACTATTGCCGCTGTCATTTATGAATAGATGCAATTTTTACCAATTTTATTGTTTTACTGGTCAACATAATAAGAAAAGTACCTGCAAATATTTAGTGTGTGTGTGTGAGAGAGTGTGTGTGAGTTGTCTGATCAGTATTATTCATCAAATTAAACTTAGTCTTGGAAGCCATTGTGTAAACACAGGAAGTAATTTTGAAATTAATTTTTTTGCATTATCATTATTTGCCAGTAGTGAATTTGAATTGTTCACACGAATGCCATATCTTACAAATAAGAAAGCTAATCATAGCTGGATGAATATTGAGGAAATGTGATAGCCTGATTATTGCCAGTATCTGTGGGTATGAGGTGCTAGAGAGTAAGAGAGTAAATATGTACAAGACCAGGTTTACGAACAAAAGTTGCAAGTCAAATAAAATGAAAAAGTTCTTCTGTGCTGGGTGGCCAAGGTGAGGTCAATATCAATATTGGCATTGGCACTGCCAAGGCCATGTTTTGCATAATGATAATTTAATCAGGACTTGTTAGTGACAAAAGGCTTATCAAACATAGAATGTTTTAATACACAGGTTGGTTTGTTTGACAAAAGCGACACCCACCTTCTTTCACAAAGCTACTGCAAAATTCATAT
This sequence comes from Homo sapiens, assembly GCF_000001405.40. Lineage (NCBI taxonomy): Eukaryota > Metazoa > Chordata > Mammalia > Primates > Hominidae > Homo > Homo sapiens. The sequence goes on along the minus strand of NC_000009.12, from coordinate 108,134,711 downwards.
CCGGCCTTGCAAAATTTTATGTTGACAGCAAAGACTGTGAGGTGCAAATTCATTGGACATTTGACATGCTTATTACTCATCATTAAAATAATGATGTTTCTTTTCTCAGGAAGCAAGGATGCTTATCTTTACCCCACAGAAGCAAAATATATATCAAAAATTACAACTGTAACCTGGAAGTTCAAACACAAATGTTTTGAATCTATTTTGAATCTATTGAAAATATTTTTACACACTAAGAAAAGTACATATATTGTCCTATTTCCCTAATTGGAAAACTAATATATAATAAGTTTAAAATACATACCAACTTCTTCTATTTCTTTAGGTAATTGTAATAGGCAACAGTCAGGTAAAGCCATTCAATATTAAACTTGGATTCCTGAGAGACTAGGTCAGTAGTATGTTTTATGTATGAATGTATTTATGTTATACATTATTTATTATTCATTTTAGGTATTCATTATTGATTTTATTTATGCATTCAACTTTTGCCAAATTTCCAAAGGGAGTTTTGCTCTCTCAAATTCTTTGGAGAGGAGGGAAAAAGTAGTTTTAACAAAATTCTATTCGGAGTAAATTTCTACAGGAGATGACGATATTGAGTTGAGTCTTTTGTTAACCAAGACAAAAAAGAAAATGGGATGTAACCTTACCGTCATCATTTGAATAAAAGAAAGTGTACCTTTTTATAGCATAGGTAGAGACATTTTCCAAAGCCGTAAACTAAAGGAGAAATTCATCTACTGCTTTATGTGTACGTGCATACACACACACTCTTCACTTACATAACAAAGATGGTTGTCAATGAAACCATCAGATCACCTGTGATACAGATGAGAGAAGCAATGGGTCACCTTCATGAATTATTCACAGGGCTTTCAAGGATGGTGACTGGCTACAGGAAATTGGAGGTCATTTGTAGTTTATTTCCAGGCCTAATAGATGGTGAAATCTCTTGATTAAAAGATATCATACTTCCTAAATGAATTTCTCATCCATGAAGATTGACTCTTTGTGGGAGAAGTTTCCAAATATATTAAAGTGTCACTAATAAAATGTGAAGTAGATTTCCAACCATATTCAATGCTCATTTTGTGTACACCAGGACTCTTAGTCATGTAAAAGTTCTGTTTTAGCAGAACCATAACTGCTTCCTTGGAGCCTCCACCAATTTGCTGAAGTTTTTAATCTGGACTATATCTGTTAGTTCCATTTCTTCCTCTAAACTGCAGCCCTTCACCTGTTTAGAGATGTTTGCCCTAAGTGGCAACTCCAGAATTTCACTGCAGAGAGAGTTGAGGGGTGGTCTTCTGATTGCTGAAGGGGCTGGAGAGCTTGCTGTAAATCTACCTCTATGCAGCAAGTGTGCTGTTCTGTTGTCTGCTGTGTATTGATTTATGCTGACTTGGAGGAAAAGGTGTTATATAGACTATGAGATTGATCTTTAGCCATTCCCCTCCCTAGCCAATTCCTGGTACCCTCACTGTCTATCAAAAAGACTTGGAAGTTTACAGGCAGTGCCCCTTGATCTATGGCAAACAAGTTAGAATAATTCTACTCCCAACTCTCCATCACTTAGTTACTTGCAGGGAAGAGCTAGAGCAGCACTTCTGTGTGAAGCCATCTGTGAGGGCAGTGTGCCCGCAAACCCATGTTGTATCCTACAGAAATAAGTGGATCAAGGAATCAAGGCCCCCAGGTTAAAACCAGCTATTAAACACTTATTAGGTAAAAGGGGTAGGTGGGCTGACAAATAAGGTTCTCATGACTGATGTGTGCTTCTCAGTGACCTCTTACCTGGTGCCAGCTCGATAACAACATTGAAGTTTGAGTCTAGTAGTGTAACCTCTTAGAATTATCAGGGATGCTGGCCATGGAGCATCAACATTTTCCTGAGCCTGCTATTTACTTAAAAATTCATCAAATAAGCTGTTTTAGCCTCTGAGATGAATGGCATAACTCCAGTTAGATTCTTTCTGATCTTCAAATATATTTCCTGATAAGTGCCCAAATCCATAGTCATAATATTGACAATCACAATAACAATAATTTTTTTTGTTTGTCATGTTTGGCTGCATATCAGGAATCTTGACATTTGTTCTTCAAGCATCCCCGAATGGGTGGTGTTAACACTCTGTTTTATAGCAAACAAAAACATGGTTGCAATAGGTGGCATGGCTTGTTTTCCAATGTGCAGCTGATAAATTTCTGTAGCCCTGGGAAAGCTGCAATGCCCCCACTTAAAGGGCGTCCTTGAAGGCAGGTAAAGTTCAAAGGTAGTATTTGGGTTACAGTGCTTGAGAGTAAAACTTTATGAAGGAGCAAAGAAGTTCAACTCTGAAGCCAGAAGCGGGTGAAGAGGCAAGAAGAGTCTGAGAGAGGCTGCTGCTCCTGGGAAGTGGTCCAGCCATCTGCTTGGGTCACTCTTGACTTTCTCATTCTCTTTTACTGCTCACTCCTCTCCAATCAGGTTTCACAAAATTAGACAAGGTCAGAATCTCTTGTTGTTGTGCCCTATGAAGGTCTGGGCCAAAAGACCTAGGTCAGCTCTGCTCCAGGTTTTGGGAAAAGCTCTTTGGCACTTGTATGGAGCAGCTTGCTCTTCCTGGACTGGATTTTCCTCTGCATGTGAGTGGTTCGACTCGGGGAGCTAAAGTACTGTGGTATAAGTAAAGACTCCCACCATGGCCCATTTCAAATTACCAACTTGACACCCACTGGCTAGCAAAATTCCTAAAAATTCAGCTATTGGCTCTTACAAGCCAGTACAAGTTTCTCCAGCACAGCACTGGTTAGAAAATGTCCAGAGGAGAAAGCATTCAGCTTTGTCTCTTGCCAGGCATTTTTTCACACCACTCAGTCTAGCTCACCAGCGACTGACTATGTAGATATTTAGGGTCAAAGCGCACAGTTACAAGGAGAGCACGTGGTTTTGGCTTTATCCTTGGTACATTTATTTCCCTTAGAAATTACAAGGACACCAATGGGTGACACATCAAAATAGAATGTCCAGAATATTCTGGTATTCTGATAATTCTCACTCTCCCAACAAACAAATGTGTGCGTATATGCACATATACTCACAAACATAAACGTCCCCACTGTATGAAGACGATTTATAAGCTCTCACCTAAGCAGTGCAAATGTTTAAGAGGTTGGACTTTGTAATGAAATAGACATAAATTTGATTCCCAGTCTCTTTCCTGTAGACAAGTTGCTTAAACTCTAAGTGTCTTATCTGTAAATTTGGGGTATTAATAAATAAATACCTGATAAGGTTGTTCTAAAGATTAAATTAGATAATAGTGGTTTAAGGCTTACTAACATCCAATTTTTATGCAGTTTCTATTTTCTCTATACCTGACTCAGTAAATTCTCAACTGGCGTCAACATCTTGCCTCCCTGTTCTTTGTGGATACCTGGCGGATAAGTTGCCAGTAAGTACGTGAAGGCAGGGTGACATTTATTTGGTTCCTGTTTAAACTGATTGATATGGGTGATGATAATCTTGGGCATTTTTATTTAAATAGTTTTCCCACATGTTCAAATAATATACTTGTCACCTCTTACAGTCCTGGGAACAGATCTTATCTTCTTTGTCACAAAATGGCACCTGCCTGAGTAAACACAAACAGGAATGGAGAGGCTGAGCCCTTGCTCACCATTTGAAACCTGATTCAGAAAGGCAAACAGACAATATGGCTGCTGGGCTTAGCCTTCCAGAGCAATTTTAATCACAAAAGCCATGATATAGAAATCTCTAAAATGCAAATAAAACATTGTTAAATTGACAGAAGGGCTATTTTAAATCCTTAAAGAGCAAGAGGGCTGGTGAATATGAATATTTAGAAAGTAAAATAGTCTCTAAGAACCAAGGGTAGATAGAGGTCAACATCTTACTTTCTCTACAACTTGATAAATTCCTTTTTTACAAATTTAAATTTTATTTTTATCGATGTGATTTACACGCATAGCTTAAAGAATCAAATTATTCAATGAGACAAGTGCATTCAGTTCTTTCAGCTCGTGCTTTCCATATCTGCCTCCATATCCTCTAAATAATATGCTTATAATATTCCTTCTTAATTTGTATTTTAGTTTAGGGATTATAAATTAACTTCCCAGCATGGGAAATGAGGATTTGGCTCTCTTTCACCCTCTGCTCCACTTAACCCAGGCAAGCTTTTGTTCACCGGGTCCCACGAGATAGCTATGTTTTCACTGTGGCTCAGTTTTCAATATTTATATTACAATGATTATATAAGTGTTATTTGCAGTTGATTGTGTAGTATATTTCCTTCCCTGCACAGTCCACTCATTTTCCAAAAGATTTTTCTTTTGCTTAGTTTTTCTAGTACATATCGCTAATTTTTCCCCAAATTCTTCCCAAGTTGTGAAAAACCTCCTTTTAATACATTCAAATACATTAGGTAATTACTGATTTCCTCTTGAAGAAATACCCACAGAGCCTCCTGAACTGGTCTTAGGCAGAGAGATTGTTCTCTAGACCTCTTGGGTGACTGACACTTTGGAATCTTCCTTTGTCATTATCTTGGGGACTCATTTGTGCATATTCTGCGTTGGATCCCCCGTTCCCTGGATTCCACTTTTGTCTTGGTTTTCCCCCTCTCAGTATGTGATTTCTCAAATCGCTTCCTAAATGAGGTTATCTGATAAGTAATTTTTTGAGAACTTTTAAGTTGAAAAGATTTTTATGTTACTATCCCACTTAATGAATGGCTTGGCCAGATATAACATTCTCAGCTTGAAGAATCCATTTTGAATAATACATTGTTCAATTTTCTCCTAGCTTTTAGGGGAGGCTTTGAAAAGTCTATTACCTTTCTGGTTTTTGATTCTTTGTATGGAAACATCCTTTTTTCCCCTTTTTGTGAAAGACTTTAGAGATTTCTTTGTGCCCAGTGATCTATAGTTTTATAATGATGTGTTTTGATGTGCGTCTATTTTCATTCATTGTGCTGAATCCACTTAACCTGAAAACTCCATCCTTCAATTCTGAACATTTTTTTCCATTTCTTTAATAATGTCTTACCCCCTGTTTTATAGATTCTCTTTTTCCTGAACTTTATATTTTCAGATGTTATACCTTCTGATATGGTTCATTTATTTTCTTCTATTTTTCATCTTTTTTTTGTATTTTTTTGGATTATTTCCTCAGATTTATCTGGAAATCCTCCCACTTACTGTTTTCACTTCAGCTCTCATTTTTAACCTTTCATCCAATGTTCCTTTCCTGCATAATACTATTCTTCTTTCACCAACACAAATTTTTCTCTCATCTCTTGGAGCATATTTATAATAGTTTTTAGAAATTTTCATCTTCCTGCTTAGGCTGTGTTTCTTGTTTGTCTGTTCTTTTTGGTCTCTGGATTTCAAAATACTTTCTTCGAGTATCTCATATTTAAGCGTAGGACACCAGAAAGCTCTGTGTACAGAGGACTGTCCATGGGCTTCGGTATAGGATTATCTCGCTAAGCCATTTCATACCGCAATGTCAGAATTTTTTCCTCGTGGAATGATCAGATTCCCCAGAAAAAGTCTCCTCCAGCCTCTACCTTGAGGGTATAAGCCTGGATGCCTGTATCCTGGAGGTTGTGTGAGGAGAAAGTCTGTTTATTTAGTACGTGGTATGTACACATTTGATCACCCCCTTTTTAATTCAATACCCCTTTTTCACGGGGCATGGACCCACTTTTCAACTCTGCTCAGTATTCTGCGATCTCAAGATCTGCTGTTTTACTCTCTTTAGAGAAAGAAACCTGCAATATGCCAGGATAGTCACTTTGCTGCTGGTAAAAGGTAAGGGGTCTCATAGATTTCTAAATACACTTTCAACCAATTCTCCTACTTGGACCTCTCTTTTCAGAGGTACCTAATGCTACCCAGCCTGGGGATTCTGCGGTGGCTTCTGAGTAAATATAGAAGTCTATATTTACTTTTTTTTTTTTTTTTTGCTTATATTTGGCTCATATTTCTCTTGCTTATATTTGAATTATAAGATTTTGAATTATAATTATGCTTTACTAGTTCTGCTAATTCATTTCCCATCTGCTTTCCATCTTCCAAAAAGCTCTGTTTTCTTCTGATTTCTTTATCCTTCTGGGTTTCTGTCTTTATTTTTTAGTCCTTAAACTATTGTTCAAATGGAGTTTTGAGACAGAACTAGAGGAAAATGCATGTGTACAATTCATAACCTTTAACTGAAAGTCTATATATTTATTTTTCAACATGATTTATCCTCAGTTGCACTCACTGTATTTTTCACCTCTTTTTTTTTTTTGAGACTGAGTCTCGCACTGTCGCCCAGGCTGGAGTGCAGTGGCGCGATCTTGGCTCACTGCAAGCTCCGCCTCCCAGGTTCACGCCATTCTCCTGCCTCAGTCTCCCCAGTAGCTGGGACTACAGGTGACCACCACCACTCCCGGCTAATTTTTTGTATTTTTAGTAGAGACGGGGTTTTACCATGTTAGCCAGGATGGTCTCGATCTCCTGACCTCGTGGTCTGCCCGCCACGGCCTCCCAAAGTGCTGGGATTACAGGCGTGAGCCACCGTGCCCGGCCCTCACCTTTTTATTACTCTTTGTCCACTTTGTCTATTCTTTATCTTTTTTTTTTTTTTTTTTTTTTGAGACAGAGTCGCACTCTCTTTGTTGCCCAGGCTGGCATGTAGTGGCATGATCTCGGCTCACTGTAGCCTCAACCTCTTGGGTTCAAGTGATTCCTCTGTCTCAGCTTCCCAAGTAGCTGGGACCACAGGCGCGTTCCACCACACTCCACCAATTTTTGTATTTTTAGCAGAAATGGGATTTCACCATGTATGCCAGGCTGGTCTCGAAGTCCTGGCCTCAAGTGATCCACCTGCCTCGGCCTCCCAAAATGCTGATTACAAACGCAAACCACTGCACCTAGCCTTTTTTTTTTTTATTCTTTGTCTTTAATGTCTAATTAAACCTCATATACAAAATAGCTATTACTAGTCAGATACTGTTCCTAGCGTTGTGGATACAGCAATATAAGAATAAAACTCTCGCAAGAAATTTTTGTGGTGATAAGAAGAAAGTCATGAGATACTTGGAAGCGGTCATTCTACTGAATTTAAATCTATTTGTGTTTTTCTCTACTTTCCCATCACCCTTTTGGTTAATCTAAAATTGCCAAAATGTTTGTAGAAAGCTGCATATGTAACCAATAAGTTGAAGACAGTATAGCATATGCAGTAATAAATGCAATTAGAAATGAATTATTCCTTCTTCAGATCAAGGAAAACCGCCTAGAGATGGTGGCAGCTGGGCTATTTTGAAGAATAATTAGAAGTTGGCCAGGTTCTTCCCATTATAATCTCACACAATCAAGTTGTCAGTTAGCTTCCTTATTATGCTATAAGCATATTAATGCAGAGAAAGTGTTTATGTCACTTCCTGAATACATAATGCATAGCATGGCACCTGGCACAGAGTAGAAGCCCAGTGGATAGTGAATGAGTTAAACATATAGAAGAAACAGAAATTTGAATTAAATCTATATTGCTCTCAGAACTTTCCCTGAATTAAATAGATAAGAAAATACAACCAATGGTATAACCTGATTTTCCTATGACAATTTTGATTAATTAGGTCTAGTTATTTACTGTTTTATTCTTTTCTAATGAAATAATATTTTAAACTCATATTTACTTTTCAAAACTACCTGGCACGGGTCTACTAGCTTGACTGGAATAGACTGCACTTGATAAAACCTTGTAAGAAACTCAATTATTTCTCTCCATCCAAAATGATCCAATTATTGTAGTTTTCAGTCAATTATTAGGTTGGTGCAAAAAAGTAATTGTGGTTTTGGCCATTTCTTTCAATAGCACTTTTATATTTGTAGTCCTTTGTTGCAAACAAAGATAAAAAGAGAAAGCCCTTGCTTGACAGAAGGGCTTGTGTTACTAGGAAAGTGAATACGTAACTAACAATTTTAAGATAGTATAACATAACCACTAATAAATGCAATTAGAGCATATTACTATAAAAGTAATTGTCATTACTTTTTTTTTTTTTTTTGAGTCGGAGCCTTGCTCTGTTGCCCAGGCTGGAGTGCAGTGGCGTGATCTCGGCTCACTGCAACCTCCGCCTCTCTGGTTCAAGCGATTCTCCTGCCTCAGCCTACCAAGTAGTTGGGGTAACAGATGCGCGCCACCACACCCGGCTAATTTTTGTATTTTTAGTAGAGACGGGGTTTCTCCATGTTGGCCAGGCTGGTCTGGAACTCCTGACCTCAGGTGATCTGCCTGCCTTGGCCTCCCAAACTGCTGGGATTATAGGCATGAGCCACCGCGCCCAGCCTGCCATTACTTTTAATAGCAAAAAACACAATTACTTTTTTGCACCAACCTAATAAAAATTTAGTGGTTTAATCCAAGATTCAGAACTGACCTCAGTGCAAAGTTTGAGAAATAACACTAGAAGTCGAGACTGTGGTATTCTAGGTAACTCAACAAGAGCCTGCGTTGGAAACCTTGGTTTCCTGGCTAATGAGACACACATACAAGCCGAAAACACCTGCTGAGGTTGCTCGTTTATAAAAAGAATTGTTGATCTGGAATGAAGCTTCTTGTACTCATTTATACTCATATTCGTATCCCAGATTTTTTGAAGACATCAGAAGCATCAGTTGAAGATTCCTGCATCCACATATGGGACTCAGAATTGATGCATGCTGCTATACTGTTAATTTAAATATAAATATCTACAACAAGTAGTCAACAGTCAATGGGGCTCTGATGCCAACTTCCAATTCCTCCTCCTAGAAACTTTGAAGTGCTCCAAAATGCAGAAGTGCGTTTAAGAAGAATAGTTCTGTTTAGGTTTAGCCAGGATTTCTCTCTTTCACACTATTAGGTCTTGATGATCCTCTTTTAAAGAGGTCCAAAAAAAGTGTGCGTACAGGCTCGCAGGTGCCCCCTATGGGTGAGACAGGCAGTCTCACTGTCACTACAGACTCCATTGGTCCCCCTTCACTACTTGGACTCCAAAGGCGTTTAACTTTTTCATCTCTTATTATTGGACTCTTTGCCCCTTATGTTTGTATGATCTGCCCGATACCCAGGACATTCATTAATCATTCAATTTTTTAAAATAATTTTGTTTAATGCCAAATTGTGTCACTGGTCAGCAGCATAAGCACAGCACACACTGCAAAGCACAGCAGCCTGGGCTGTGGGTTTGAATCCCAGTGACACAGCTAAGAGACCTTAGGAGGTAGGTTACTTAGCCTGTGACTTCAATTTTGTCTCAGAACTTGATATCATGTCTAATTTTTGTAAATCAGAAATAACACATGTAAATCAGAAAAAAAAATTGTAATTTTCAGTCTAATTTTTGTCAATCAGAAATAACATATCCAACTTGTCAGTTCTAAAGACTGAATGAGATTATTCATGGATGGACCTATAGCATAGGCAGTAAATATTGGTTCCTTTCCCCCTTTTTCCTCCTTCTACTGTTGTTGTCATCATCATTATTATTGTCATTATTATATTATTTTGTAGTTGTCTTGTCCTAGGTATAGGAGATCTAAAAAAATTGAACAAGACAAGATGTTTGAACTTGAAGAACTCACACTTCAATAGTAAAGAGATACAAACAGTATAACAAGTGGAATAAGAGACGCATTTCAGGACTTACAGGAGCAAACTCATAGGAGAGGAAGGGAAAGTAGGAAGAGTCAGAGGAGCCACTGCTCAGATAATATCTCAGAATTGGAATCTTGTTTTGGGACAATGAATGGGGTGTACGTGCTGGACTCAATATCAGGCTTTTAAAATATGCTCTGTCTTGTCTATCTATGTGGTCACAGTTGAATGTCTTAAAAAAACTGCTTTTATCTCAACATGTTAAAAGTAGTATGTGTTATTTATAATGTTTAGGAAAATATGGAGAAGTAAAAGGAGCAGAAAAACCGAGTTATGTTTTCCACTCTTATTCTTTAGTATATTTCTTTTCAGTCTTTTTTTTTTTTCATGCATGGTGTTTTTTGTTTGGTTTGGGCCATAATTTATGGAAGAGCTGCTTTAAATCCACTACCTCAGTCCACAGTTGGTGATCATAGAGTGACTTGTCCCCTAGTGCTCTGTCTCAGTTACCGGTGACAAAAAGGAGGTGCTTTGGTGAAATAGTAACACTATCCCATTCCCATTTCCTGGCTGGGATACACAGGAAATGCATATAGTGCACCACTGGGCTATTACTAGAGATGAATGGGATCTGAGTGCTGTGAACTGCCTTTGCATAGTAGCAAGAGTTTGTTTCCAGATACAGGGCCCCAGGTGCTTTCCTTCTACCCGGCTTTCCTTCTGTGGTCCTGGAGCCCACGTCTAGAGTTATTTAAGAAGAGAGAGAGAGAGAATATTTTTGCAATAATATAGTTTGTCCAAAAATGTAGACTAATTCCTCCCTCTGTCGTTTCCAAACAGACAGCTTTGAAAATAATTTGTTTTTTACCTAAGTATTATATAAGCTCAAGGAAGGAACGACAAAAGGAAGAGATTAACCGAGCATTTACCACAGACTCTTCCTGTGCTGGCACATTCACACTTTATCTCCTAGAATCCTCACCATAGTCCTGGAAGACAGACCCTGGATTACAGACGGGTAAACTGAGGCTCCAGAAATTTAAATTTTTTTTAGAAGCTCATGTGATTAGAAAGTGGCAGAACTGCGATTCTGACCCCCCAGGATAAGATCAGATTTCCCTAATAAACATTCTTGGAGCTGTGTATGCTTCCACTTAGCCTATTTGCAAGATTAAATGCAATTGTATTGTTATTATTTGAAATTGATTAATCCCTTCCTTCCCTCCTTGAGGCCCTGAATTCTAATCTTAGCTGATTTACTGTTGTAAATCCAGCACAAAGTAAGGAGTATGAAAAAAGGAAAAGCTAAAGTTCAGTAAATAGCTTTTCAATATATGAATGAATAAGTGAATAAAATCCAGGTGTCTTTAATTTCCAAATTAGAGATTTCCAAGTTCTTAGAGAGTACACTTCTTCAGTTACCTGGAAACTGCATTCAAGCTGAGTAGAGGCAGAATGTCCTTCTACTACAAAGGAATAATCAAGGTCTACCTGTTTACATTTATCCTCATTTAAGCTAGGAAACTGGAACTTTCCCCCAACTCTAATGAAATTATAGAAAATAGAATTTGTGACAAAAATCAAGGGTGTTAAAATAATAAAATCTGGGTAGGACCAAAGGCAGCCCTTCAATGCTCTTTTCCCTAAATGTTCAAACATGAGTATGACAGGAATGTCTTCATTTAACATCTAAATTTTCAGGAGACTACTTCCTGGGATAGGGCAGAAGGAGAGAAATCAGAGATGGACACTGGATGAAAAACATCAAGCCCCAGTCTAGGAGACCTGAAGATTTGTAGCACAAAGTATTTAGAAACATCTTACTTCGACCAAAGCAGTGCCCTGTGAAGTGTTCACTTTTAAATGAATCTCGTATTTCAACAGAAGCCAAATGATCCTTCACTCTGTTTTTGAAACTTCCAGCAGTCAGTCAGTTACACTCTGAAGTGAGGCCCAGTTGCAGATGCAAAGGCATCATTTCCACCCGGTATGGGGTAAACGCATCTGATAGCAATAACCTAAGCAAACACTTAGAATGACCCTGTATGGCAGACGCATGTGAATGTGTGTTCTGAGCTAGGGAATCTGGAAGTGGCCAACTCAAAGATGTATTCCTTGTCTATGAGAAACATCTGAGCTGCACCCCATCCTGTGGAACATGGGGCTGTAAGGGGATTGAGGCACTGAGTTTCGGATTAAGTAAAGGTTGCTAGATGGAGGTCATTATGGGGAGGGTGTTAAGTGAAAACGCTCTATAAACCGGATGATGTTTGCAGGTGATTGCAGTTTTTCTGCCCAGCCCACTGCCACTGGGCTATGCGGTTATCTTGTCCAACTCACACCACTGTGTTACAGGTAGAGGGTCTTGACTTAAGTTGTCCAGGTTCTTTGCATTTTGAGCAAAGAATTGGACAAAACGTGCAGCAAAGCAAGGAAAGAATGAGTCAATGAAAGACAGCAAGCAGGGATTTATTGAAAATGAAAGTACACTCCACAGTGTGTGAGCGGGCCAAGCAGCAGCAGCTCAAGGGCCCGGATGCAGAATCTTCTCAGGTCCAAATACTCCCTAGAGATTTCCCATTGGCCACCTCATGCTCACCTCATGTAAATGAAGTGGTGGCCTGCAATCAGTCTGATTGGTTGCAGAAAGCAACCAGCCAGAGGATGAAGTGGAATTACAAAGGTCACACTCCTGTGCAAACATCTGATTGGTTGATTTTTGCAATCAGAGGCTAAGGTGAAGTTACAAAGTTGTACTTCTATGCAAAGGAAGACTCAGTCCACAATAAGTCAGCTTGGTTGTGCAAGCCAATTTCCCATCTGCCACACAGAAAAGGTGGGGGATTTGCAAAGGGAGTAGCCTCTGGTCTTTTAGTTACTTGGGAGTGAAAAGTTAGAGTTTTCTTTTCAATTTAGTTCTAGGAAGTTGGCGTGAAATGGCCTTAGGTTCCCTGCCTCCAGACCCTATTCCTCTGCCTCAACTGGACTCTCTCCCCTGTATGTAAACCCATAATGAAACCCCATGTCTTGTTTGCTGGCTCTGGGTTTCTTCTTGGTCCTCTTGAACCTGGTGTCTTCCCTGCTGAGGTTATTAGAAGTTTGGAGACAACACCCAGTTGCAGTTTTACATCCCTAACTCTCATCACAGAGCACCCTAAAGGGTCTCAGAAAGGAGCCCAACACAGGGCTCTGGAGGTGAGTCATGGGAGGTCTTAGAACTTTCCATTCCAAAGGTTTCCTCTCCCAGTTTTCTTTCTCTCGGCACTAAAATTACGTTTCGATGTAAGACTATCTAGTGTACATTGCCCTTGGTTCCATCTTTGTGTTTTTTGGTGGTTTTGTTTGTTGTGAATTTATCTTTTAATTTTTATTGAACATATACTTTGGCCAAATTCCATGTCAAATACTTTATATGAATTATTATTAATCATTAGAATTCATTTCATCCAATGAAATAGTTCCATTGTATTATTATCCCCAGCTTACAGAAGAGGAAACTGAGGTTTAGAGAAATGATTTTACTTGTCCAAATTAAATCATAAGGATTGGAAACTGAAGTTGTCCCCAGATAGCGTGACACAGGAGCCCACGTTTTAAAGCCATGCACTGTATTCTGTCTCAGGGACTATTTCTCACCTACACAATTACAAATTTCCCCTGGCTGGTCTTCTTGACCCTAGTCCAGTCTCCAACACTCCATCCTTCATAGCAACCTCCAGTGTAACTTTTTAAAAACTTGACTTAGCGCTATTTAAATGTATGCTGACATAAAAGTAGCTATACACTCCTTACACTTGTAGCTCTCTTAAAACTATTAAACTCAAACATAAAAATGACACAATTCAAGTGGACAAACTAGATTTATTCAGTTAGATATGCTGAAAATGAATTATTCAGTTGAGGTTTCACAACAAATTTCAGATAGGTATATTTCACTTGATGATGACTTGAACTTCAGGATCCAAAGTGTTTCTTCTTTTTTTTTTTTTTTTTCCAGACAGGGTCTCACTCTGTTGCCCAGGCTGAAGTGCGGTGCCACAATCTTTGCTCATTGCACCCTCAACCTCCTGAGCTCAAGCAATCTTCCCACCTCAGCCTCCCAGGTACCTGGGACTACAGATGTGCACCACGACACCTGGCTAATTTTTGTATTTTTCGTAGAGATGAGGTTTCGCCTTGTTGTCCAGGCTGGTCTCGTACTCCTGGGCTCAAGCAATCCTCCCACCTTGGCCTCACAAGGTGCTAGGATTACAGACTTGGGCCACCATACCCAGCCCCAGAGTGATTGTTTCTAATTCAGATCTGACCACCATCTCCCTGACCATCAAGATCTGGACTCTGACTCCTGTTCAGTCCCATGTGTCAGCCCCTGTGCACTTCTTTGCACTTGACATTCTCATCACAACACAAGATGGAGAGTTCCCACAGCAGGCTTTTGGGTGCACGCTGCTGCTTCTGTTCTGACTGTCCACTATCTTCACCTATGGGACGAGCTGCTTAAAAACCTTGCCAAAGTGCCACTTGCTCTGAGAAGCCCTTCCAGGTTCTCCCTTGGACAAACTGTCAGCCCATGAACAAACTGGGTACCTTGTATGCATCTCTAGTATACTCATCCTGTACTATAATTGGCTTGGGATGCATATCTTTCTAAGTGAATGTCTCATAATCAGGGACAATGTGACAACCATGATCATTTTTGTCCCTCTATTACAGATTCAGAGAGAAAAAGCAATTTGTGCAAAGTCACACATAGCTGCGTCTCTAGGTGCCTTAGTGTGGTGAGGGGTTCCAACAGCAGGATTGCTATTCAGAGATCTTACCTGACTGTTTCCCTCCATGAACTGTGGTTCTGAATGATGTTGGGTTTCTTTCATTGTTTCTTTGGTGACTGAGCACTTGAAGAGGGAGTCAAAAGTCTTGGGTTCTTGCCTTGTCGTTGGTAGCTTTATGTGGGACCTTGAATTAGTCTCGCCCTCTCTCTGGGCCTCAGTTTTCTCATCTGTCAAGTGAGGGTGTTGGGCCAGATGGCACTGAGCCTCCTTTGATTTAGTGCCCTGCATACGTGTAGCTCACATGTCCCGGGTGACCTTGTCACGTCAGCAGCCCGGGCTTTGCCAAAAGAGCTGACTGAGCCAGGCTGTGTAAAGGGGCAGGGAAAAGAATGGCTCCTTCACATAGGCCCTTTACACGGGGCGAGTGTTATCGCCAGAGGAAATTGACTCAAGGAGATAGCACCTTAGTATCAGAGCAAGCCAGGCTATCAGTGGGCAGCCCCCACAATCCCAACCCTCCTTGCCAAGGGTGCCTCAGGCTGGGTGGCCTTCCTGACACACAGCAAATACGGTGCCAGGCCTAAGACAGAACACTGTGGGAAAGTGCAGTATAGAGTCAGGCCCTGGGGCCTGGGGGGACTCGGGCAGGCCTGGGCAGCTCTCTGTGGCCCTCATGGCATCCAGGCAGCCAGATCTCAGGCTCTGTCATTTCTACATTTACTGTGATGGAGAGAGACAGTATTTCCCTCGAGAAAGACTCTGCTGTTCTCATGGTGCTCCATCCCATGTAGGTCTTACCTAGACCCCTGTCCTTCTACCCTGTGCTCTCCATAGCTGAACCAGGGAATACCCAACACTGGTTCCATTCTGCCTGCCATTTTCCAGACTTAGGGAGCATTGGGCAGAAAGCATTTAAGCAGCTTCAGCTCATTTCTCAGGAGCTGTGTCAAGTTTCTCCAGCTTTTCTTGCCATCTTTGCTGGGCCAACTTCACCTTAAGCTTCAAACCTTAGCCATGGGTCACCTGCCCCAGGAGGCCTTCGTTGACTGCCCATGGTCTAGGTTGGGCACTGAGCCTGGGGTTGTCTTCTACTTTGGCATTGTCACTATTTCCTGGGTTCTAAGCAGTTAGAGAAAAAAGGAAATCATTTTTTCCCCTCACTCATCCATACATTAGTTAAGCAAATATTCTTGAGTGTTCACTCCCTGGGAGACACAAAATACATTGATTTAAAAAAACAAATAAACAGCCAAAAGTGTTCCTCGATGTCACGGTACATGCAGTCTAGTAAGGGAGTTAATAAAATCATAATCTAATACATGAAAAAAAAATTGAAACTTACAGGTGTTAAGAACAGCAACTACACAGCACACTGACTAGCAGGAGAATTTAATATAGTCAAGGAGGTGGGCAGAGAAGTGCTGACGGAGGTGAGGAATAGTAGGAGTGATAGACAAAAGGAGTCAGGAAGATCATTCATGTCTCATTGATCTGTGTCCCCAGCCTATCACAAGGACTAGGATGAGGTAATTACTCAATAAATGCCAATAAATATGGAAGCCACATTTTCTGCAAAGTTGGCTCTAAGGCCAGGGTCCAGTACCTGCCTTGGTCCATTTGCCCTGTCTCTGTCTCAGGGAATGTTTTCATTCCACTGTCATCCTAAGAAATGTCCCTGTCTCGCCCATACAACTCCTTCTCAGATCCAGTCTTTTAAGTAGCCTTGACCTGGAGGCTGTAGCCATACCATCTGCTGCAAACCTTCATATGTCCTCTCTCAGTGAGGGTCTCCAAAAATCATGCACCTCTGCTTCCTTTCCCCAAATAACCCATGTGGATTTCTACCTGTTCTGGTCTTTTATGCCCATGGACACAGTTTGCCTAAACTACCTGACCTTCTCTATTGCCGTAACTCCAGCTATTGCAAGTTTCAGCTTGCTGATTTGGCTCTTTTGAGCATGTTCTCTGCTTCTCCAAGTGCCTCCCTGTCTCCCAGGGACAGGATTAGTTCTGGGATCCAGACATCCTTGATTAATGCAGCAGACCAGCCATGCCCAACACCCTCCTGAGACACTACCCAAATTTTCTTAATGTTGGATTCATCACAGCCAAGAACACATTTGGTTAATCAACTCTCTTTTTCCCAACTGGAGCCACTGTGATAAAGATTGAAAATGTGCCCCCATTGTAAGTGGCTACTGTTTCCAATTACATATGCTTCTCCCAGCCACCATGCAATCTGTTCACTTCATGCTGGTTTGCAAGAGCTGTTCGCACCAAACCATTGACAGCCACTATCTAAACTGAAACCATCTGCTTAGCCATTTGCCATGCATGGCTGGGTCTTGCAGGCTTACCCAGTTGAGGCCCCGTGGAGCAGTCCATTAAACAAGCATGAATTAACGCAGCCTGTTTTTATTAAATGTCTTGCAACTGATGGGAAGATGGACAAGCCTGTCTGGCAAGGATAATGGCCAATCCTCACAGCATCTGAAGTCTTGGATAAATTCCAGCAGCACCCCGCACCTCAAGACCATTCATTGAGTGTTTCAGGAGTGTGGTCGTGCTTAGAAACAATTTATCTGTAAAAGGCTTTTTAAAAGATTTTATGGTTTCTCCTCTTTCTTGTGAAAAAAAAAAAAAAAAAAAACAACAAAACCAGCCATAACTTATACTCCTTCTGTTTGTTTGATATTATTACTTAGATGGAAACTCAGGGAGAAGCAAATAAGAGTGACTAAGAACTTTAGTAGAGTGCCAATATTTACTGTTGCAGTTATCAAATCCAGAAGATGGGGTGGTAGACTTTTTTCTTACTGATACGGGTGGCCTGCACAAGCATCAGGTCTGGCATATTCAGTAAACTTCAATAGGTTTTCATGCATTTTGTCTAAATACCTTGGCCAATGTAGTGAGGCCCTAGGAGACAGGATATTTTGACCCACTCACACTAGAGTCTGTACGGCTGGAACTTTTTCTGAGCATTGGAGAACACGTCAGTGATCAAACCCAACAGCACCCCCAATAATTAAGAAAATTCAGCAAACTCTGCCAACTCGGATTCTAGAGTCATCAAGCAACTTTCTTACACTTTGACTTCCTAGATAGAAGAACTACCTGTGAGAAGAGACAGGGCTCTTGAGCATATACAAGCATCCATTTCACTTGATATTCTATTTCACGCTGTAAAGTAATACAGTGGCATAATATAGTGGCATTCAAGGTTTCTATTATTTTTTTTTTTGAGATGGAGTTTCGAGCCCAGGCTGGAGTGCAATGGCGTGATCTCAGCTCACCGCAACCTCTGCCTCCCGGGTTCAAGCGATTCTCCTGCCTCAGCCTCCCGAGTAGCTGGGATCACAGGCATATGCCACCATGCCTGGCTAATTTTATATTTTTAGTAGAGACGGGTTTTCTCTGTGTTGGTCAGGCTGGTCTCGAACTCCCGACCTCAGGTGATCCACCTGCCTCACCCTCCCAAAGTACTGGGATTATAGGTGTGAGCCACCACGCCCGGTCATCAAGGTTTCTATTATTTTTTAAATAGTTTAAAATGAAAGAAGTGAATTCATGAGAAAGAGTTCAAGCAAAGAATGGTACACCCTCCTCCTCTGCTGAGGATATTCGGAATAGTCAACATCCATCAAGCAATTACAGTGGACTCTGACTACAAACAAATGGGTCAGCCATGCTGGCATGGTCAGGTTGAATATTTGTGCTGTCTCTCCTATGGTCTACTTTTATTCACTCAAAATTAGATGAATGAAAACCTTTTAACTTCGGTCACATTCCTTACCTTCATTGATCTGCTCTTTAAGAGCACATACTGAGATGTTTGCAAACACTGTTATCAGTATCAGTTGTAGGAAATTCGCTTTGGTATTTGCTGTTAAGACTACAATTAGTCTGTGATACACTGATTCATTCATCCAGCAATCAATTGTTGAGCTTCTAACTAGTCATATCCCTGCGCTCTAGGAATCTAAAAATGAAGAATAGTGTGGTCCCTCCCCAGAAAGCTCACACTCCAAAGGAGAGGGTCTTGGTCCTTTGTGTTTTTCAATGTTCTTTATGTCAAGTCCTAAATCAGGTGTTACTTTAAAAATACAGCCCCAAGGAAAAAGGAAAAGAAAAACCCAACAAAGTAGAAGTACAATAATCCCCCCAAACACTTTTATCTTCTTTAATCAACTTTTAGAGCTTTTGCTGCTCTGAGAATAAGTGCTATAGAATTTTATACTCCTACTTTTGCCACTGCTGGAAAACTCAGAGCCCAGTATGATCCTCCACCATGTCAAGGAGAATTATATTATCCTATGAAGCGCCCAATCTTTCCCTTTTTCTCATTTTTTGGTTCTGCTTTACTGTTTATTTTTTAGTGAATTTCCATATGCCTGGCCCTTACTGTAAACAGACTCAAATCCTTTTTGGATAGAGCCTAAAGTTTTATATGTATATATCACTTTATATATATATTTATTTATTTATAATATATATAACAATATATAATTTATATATTATATATAACTTTATATATAATACATATTATATAACTTAATATATAATATATATTATATATAAAGTTATATATAATAGTTATGTATATTACATATAACTATATATAAATTTATATGTATTTATATTTATATTTATATAAATATATTTATAAAAAATATACATAACTATTATATATAAACATATATATATGTTTTAATAAAACATGATTCGGTTTATGGCTATGTCTTCTGTTTGGACCAGGAAAAAGGAATTCCAATGCTCATATTATGGAGAAGTTGTAGCCCTCTTTGCTCATCTATGCCTTCTTCTCCGACCTCCTCCCTTTCTCTTTTCATACTGTTTGATGAGCTCTTGAGGTTGTTGATTGGAGAATACCAATATACTGAAAGGGTCATCTGGCCTGTTTCTAGGAATAAAAATTATGGTTATGGTTTATTGGACCTAATCATACACAGAGACAGTGATGCTCATTCTAATAAATAAATCAGAACTGGAGGTGCCTTAAGAACAAACAATTTTTCTGACTTTTGTTTCTTATTCATTTCTATCTGCAGGATCCAGCATAGAGCATAGTACAGAAAAATGCTCAGAAAAGTGATGCTGAGTAAATGAGTGGATGAAATAATTAATCAGATAATTAGTCCCTACTCTGACAGTCATATTTGGTCTTAATTCTTGCTTTTTCTGAATATTTTACAGTGATTACCCACTGCCAAAGCACACAGTTGAAAATTGAAGAAAGATCAACCATAATAGGGATTTTCATATTCTGGATGCATGTCTATAGATAGACAAATATATATGTACATTTGCATATATATCATACAATTGCTTGCTCTTTTCTGAGTTTAGCCAGGCTATTTCTATGTGGGTATCGCCAGAGAACACACAAAATCACCTCCATAGACCCTTGCATTTTCATTATTCCGGTTGACCTTTGAACTGTGCTGACTCCCATGGAGTGGAAAATCAGAGTATACCTTTTGACTCACCAGAAACTCACCTACTAATAACCTATTGTTGACTGGAAGCCTTACCAATAAACAGTTGATTAACACATATTTTGTATGTTATATGTATTATGTACTGTATTTTTACAGTAAAGTAGGCTAGAGAAAAGAAAATGTTATTAAGACAATCACAAGGAAGAGAAAATACATCCTCTCCATTCTCATCATCTTCACGTCGAGTAGGCTGAGGAGAAGGAAGAGAAAGGATCGGTCTTGCTGTCTCAGAGGTCGCAGAGGCAGAAGAAAATTCACACATAAGCGGACCTACGTAATTCAAACCTGCATTGTTCAAGGGTCAAATATGCTAATCTCTTATGTGCCATATTCCTGATGCACCCTTCTTCCAGGCATGTCTAATGCAGAAGTACTCAGTGTGGAAGCAATAGCACAGCTAGTGATAGATAGGAGGTTTGAGTGAGTCCTGGATTTGCCCTGTACTCACCATGACCTCAGTAAGTTACATGGTCTCAATTGCAAAAGGTGAACCACGCAGGACTGACATGTCAATACTACAGGAAGTACAAGTGAAAATGGTTCACAAGCTAGGCGAATATTATCCAACTGATCCAACTCTGCCACCGCGTTTGCCTGGATGCTCAGGGCTCTAGGTGTCTTTGCTGTCACTCGTGCCTACTTTCTGCTTCCCCATCGTGTGCACCAGCTCCATAGGTTTTTCATTTTTCCTTTTTCTTGCGCAAGTTGTTGAAGATCAAGAACGGTGGACTTCCTTTTGAGAGAGTCTGCTGGGTGTCAGGCTCTCTGTAAACATATTGTACTATTTGATCCTCATGCAAACTCTAGAGAGTATTATCCTGTTTTGCAGCTAGAAAAAGGAGCTCAATTAGATTAAATAAAGTTCTTAGTAAGAGAAGGGGAATTTTTTTTAACTCTTCAAAGCCAGTGTCTCTGCTAATGTATCATGAGTCAGGCCATGGACAGGCCCACTGCCAGTAATAGGCCTGAAGACAGAGGAAAAACGTAAATCAGAGGAGAAAATGGGGTAGTAACAGGGACAAGGCAAGAACTTCCTCTTTTAGTAATAGGATGGACCCTTGAGTTCTTATTCTTTCAAAAATGCCAGAGAAAACGGAGAAGCTTTGAACTGGGCTCTAGTGAGTTGGCCTGTTTCTCACTCTGCACAGACTGGGGAGACTGATAACTTGAAGATACCTTTATGAAGATTAAAGGGAAGCTCTAAGCAGCAGGTTCACTTATTGGAGTAATTACTGGCACATTCCTTGCTACTTGGTTCTATAATAAACTGAAGCCTAAGTAAACTTGACCAATTCTGAGTCCTCATTTTTGCAAACCTCCAAACCAGGAATTTATCTTACTTAGTCTGGCTTGGTTCACATCATATTGTCCATGGGCTCTAGAAGTGACAAATGTGAAAGGTCAGAGGTGTCTGATTTAACTAATTGCTAACTATGGGCCGGGCACTGGGTTAAGTGTCTTTCATATCAATTATTTCTTCTAACAATCCTATATGTTAGGAGCTATTGTTATCTTGATTTGAGGTCATGTAAGTTTGCTGCTTTTTGGTGTTTCGTTTTGTTTTTGCTGTTATAAGTAAGGCTGAAATGACAATCTTTGCCCACATCACAGATCGTTTTCTTAGGATGACTTCCAGGAAGTGAGACCAGTTACTCAGTCAATTCTTTTGAACAGCTTTAAGACCCTTGATGCAGATGACCAAACTGCTTTCTGGAGTGTCTGTATCACAGTGGACCCTGAGGTCCGCAGGGTATGTGCTTGTGTCCCCAAAATCTTGCTGCTACAGTGATGTACAGCAAAGAGATTGTCAGAAGTTTCATTTTAATGAAACTGGCAATAGTCTGGAAAGATTCTGGTCTGAGATTAGAGACCTGGTCCTATTCAGGTATGGTGGCTTATGCCTATAATCCAGTACTTTGGAAGGCCAAGGTAGGGGGATCGCTTGAGCCCAAGAGTTCAAGGCCAGCCTCAGCAGCGTAGTGAGACCCCGTCTCTATAAAAACCAAACCAAAACAAAAAAAATAAAAATAAAATAGCCAAGCATGTTGGTGCATGCCTGTGGTCCCAGCTACTTGAGAGGCTGAGGCGGGAGGATCCCTTGAGCCCAGGAGGTTGAAGCTGCAGTGAGCTGTGATTGCATCACTGCATCCAGCTTGGATGACAGAATGAGACACTGTCTTAAAAAAAAAAAAAAAAAGAAAGAAACCTGGTCCCTGCTGTGCCATTGGAGCTCTGTGACATTGGGTTAGTGCTTGTCTGTCTCTGGGCTTCAATTTTCCCAAGTGTGACACATAGGAGGCAGGAAAGATTATCTTGTAGGCATTTTCAACTCTAATTTTTCTTGATGTTTTTGGGGGAATATAAAACCTCTTTGGCAACAGGTGTCTCCAAATATAAACAAGTTTTCATGTGTTGTCTCCAGTTGTATGAAAAAAGGAGCCGGGAAATTGTGTTTTAGAGTTAGGCTTGGGTTTTAATCCTGTCTTTACCATTTACCATATGGGAGACCTTGCAAAATCATTTCTCCTTTCTGAGCTCCTGTTTTATCATCTGCAAACTGTAGATAGCAATGCCGTAGAGTTTTTTAAAGAAGATCAAAGGATATAATGTATATCATTTGATCCAAGGATATATAATATATATTACATGTATCATTTGATCAAATGATATAACGTGGCATGGTAGAATCTCAATCAACAATAGTACCTTTTATAGAAGAAAATTTAATACTTCCCCTCCTCTTACTCTTGTGTAAAGAATAACGAGGTTCCTAAAAGCATTTATAAGTAACTATTAAAAAATTCTGAGCATCCAGAGGCTTTGGGATTCTGCTTTCTCATCCTAGGCATCTGAAGTTTCAAGCGTCTTTCAGCTTAACCTCTCAGCCTGGAGCATCATCCACCCAAGTCCAAGTGTTTTCAGATGTAAAGTGAATTTGAAAGTTCCATGTTGACCCTCCATGTTGACTAGAGGCACCGTTGCATGGATACAAATCTGTGCCTGACATCATGGGCTGTCCTCAGTGTCTTTGATGTTGCAAAAGTTTACTAATGGCTCTGTCAGTTCAGGGAGCTCTTTGAACTAAACACTGATTGATTAAATAATAAATTTATTCTGCAGGTTTGCATCTGTTCACCACGCATTTATTGATGTGTACTTCCTTGGGTGATAGTCTTACAGGGATGAATAAGAGTTAATCCCTGTTCTTTGGAGTTCCCAGGCTAGTGGGTGAGAGGCCCAGGTAAACAAATAACTGCAATACAATGTGACAGATGCTATAACAGAAGCAGATTCAGTGATCTTTGAGAGTATAGGGGAAGCAGTGATTCATTCTATGGAGAAAAAGAAGTTGAGACAGGCTTCCCAGAAGATGAACATTTAGTCTCCATCTTGAAATCTTGAAATCTAGAGCACCTGACACAAAGGCATAGAGGTTTAAAAAAAAGAGTTTAGCTTATTTGTGGAAAAACCAGATAGGAAATAAAACAAATAATGTAAATAGGGACTAGATCATAAAGAGCTTTCAGTGCCAGGGTAAAAAAAAAAAAATGATATGCTGAGAAAAACAATGGTAAATGTTTACATTAACCCAGATTTCCTTGATTTTAGATTGTAAAAGTCTAGGAAAGAGTCACAGAAGAATCTAGGAAAGAAAATATCCATTTATTTTATGTGTTTTGTCTTGCATTCATATATTCATTCTTTCCTTCATGCATTCATTCCATTGTTGCACAAATATTTCCTGAGTCTCCACTGATGGTCAAGGGCTCGGACACCATCCTGTAGATTTACAATATCTAATAGGGTAGTCATTAGACATGTGTGACTTTTAAAATATAAAGTAATTGAAAGTAATCTCAATTAAAGTTTCAGTTTCTCAGTTGCATGAACTATATTTCAAAGCTCAGTATACACTTGTGGCTAGTGGCTGCCATACTGGAGTAGATGAAGAGCATTTCCATCATTGTAGAAATTTCTGTGGACAGTGCTTCTGCATATGATGTAAAGAGAGTGATGGATTTTAAAAGGAAGATGATGGATAATTTTTTTTTTATAATGTGGAGAATGGGTTTGGGGTGGATAAAAGCAGGAGCAGGAAAAACACTGAGGAGGTTAATGTCACACTCAAGGCAAGAGATGATGAAGACCAGCATTACAGCATGGACTGTCACTATGCCGGAAGAAATCAAGACCATCTTGCAGCTCGTGAGACAGCAAGAGACCAAACACCATAGTCATCGATGCAGTTTTCCAATTGGAATGTGACAGGAGTCCAGGAAGACATTAATCTCATCTTTTGTCATCAGTACCCTTTGGCTTGAAGCCCCAATCCCCAAGCTTCTTGGTTGGTTCTAGGCATGTGGACAAACTCCCAAGCACCTAGAGCTCCCTGCAGTCTCCCTGCCCCTGCTTGCCTCGCTTTGTCATGCCATTGGGTCTTAACCAGATGAGTATCTCACTTGGCCCATTTTCCACCCAGGATGAATGGAGTTTGGGAGAGGAAGATTATATGGCCAGCCTAGGTGTCTGCTTTGCTCTGAGTGTCTGGGTTCCATGGTTATAACATGGCAGTGGATACCTCTGAAAGGCAGGGGCAGACTGGATGATAAGATGCAGTTCCTTGTCTCCTCCCTTCCTGCTAAATGTAAACAAATCACTTCTATTAAGAGTTGACAGGAGGAAGGGCTATACCCTGCAGGAGAAGTTGCCGAGGACACTGTAATAAAGAATGTGGATTGTTTCTCCTAGAGATAAAAAGATGCTCTCAGAGACAGTCATGGTGCTGTGGGCAGTTTATTCATACTCCAGAATATAGGGCCTCCATATGTACTTGAGTCATGTCACTCTGGCTTAACTTGTATGCCATAAACAGTTCTTATTGCCATGGCCTCTCTTAACCCCTTCCTTGTCGAACCCCTAGAGAAAGAAAGAAGGAAATCCTCTGGTGGTGAAGCACTAATTTTCTGAAATCCACTCATCCTTCAGGGCCTAATTCAAGCACTACCTGCCCTGTGAGATCTTCAGATCCTCAGTCCTGCTCAGATGGATATTTCACACAAACCTCTGTTTGCCACATACCAACCGTAGTTGGATGATTATGTTCCTGCCTGTCTCTCTACATAATAAGCATTTGGGAGCAGGGTTTGGCCTAAGTTAGTTTTGCATCAAAAGGACTTGCACAGAATTCCATTCTGTAAAGGTTCACTAAATTGTATAAATGATGATGCATAGTATCCATTACATCTAAGGAGAGGCAAATCAGAAAAAGTCTAAGGAAAGAGTCACAGAAGAATCTAGGAAAAAAATATCCATTTATTTTATGTGTTTTGTCTTGCATTCATATACTCATTTTTTCCTTCATGCATTCGTTCCATTTTTGCACAAATATTTACTGAGTCCCCACTGATGGTCAAGAAATTAGCAAACCTGGTAGAGGAGGCAAAGCTTAAGTAAACAATGAAAGTCCATTGTGAGACTGACTCTGCTAGAGGAATGTACCAAGTGCAGAGTCAGGGAGAACTCATTCTGTTAAATGAAGAGAGTAGACTCTAGACTTCAAATCCTGGCTCCATAATTAGCAGCTGCCTTGGGCAGTTCATCTCTCAGAGCCTCAACAGCATCATCTATAAAATGGACATAGTCGTTGTGGGGGAAAGCATGATGATGTTTACAATAGTCTTGGTACAATATTTGGAATAGAGTAAGTGCTATTTTTCAGGCCATTATATTTGTCAGCCTAAATGATCAGGCCCATTTTTAACTTGTCTTTGTGTGGGAAGACAGACCAATGTGAAGAACTTCCAGCTAAAGCCAAAACTCAGATGTCTCTGACAATGTATTTTAGATGACTCAGCATTTGATCAGCTATCTTTCAAATACACATTCTCCTAAATTTGGCTTCCAGAAGAGCAAACAAGATAAATCTGACCATGCACTTTCCTAGAAGACAGAAAAAATGTGAATAATCAGACAGAAATGTAACTATTTGGGGCTGGAATTGGTGAACTCTTTTTCATAAGCATCACTGTAAACACACTCACTGAGACACAAAATTCTAAAGGGGCCATAGAAATCTACTGAAGATAGCAAGTTGATACATTCCATGGAAAGCACATTTATACCTAAATCATGATTATGATTACTATTGTCATCAGGCAATGAGGAGTTAGTATTATGATGACTGCAGAAGATGGTTATGATGTTTACAGTGTTTGTCAAGAAAGAGATGCTACTGCCAAAACTAATTTAAATCCTAAGAGAGACAGACAATGAAACTCAGAGATACGAACCGGTTAAGCAATGCTATTATCATTCTGGCTGTAGAGTAACGAAAGGACTGTCTGGTTTATATGCCCACAGACTCCTCCCTTCACTCAGAATAAGAAACAAAGATAAGCTGTGTGAAGTTTTAATGATCGTCTCAAAGAGGCAGAACAGGGCCATTAGTGGAAGGAGAGAAGAAAGATTCCTCACTGGCCTTTCTCTCCTCAGGTCTTCTTGCTCCTTGTTAATTGAGAACAAACATCCTAGACAATCAATAATCTCTATGTATTTTTAAAAGCCTAATTTCTAATCCACTGATTGAGACCAATCAACTTGCTCAAACATACCTGGGAATTGCCAGGCCTCTAAGTACTTAGTTAAAGAGAAGAGAAAAGGAGATAATATTTAATGAACCTTCTCTTCAAGACAATGGGTTTTCTTTATATTTCATTCAAGAAATCAAAAGCCTTTTTAAAAAAATGATATGTTGAGAAAAACAATGGTAAATGTTTACATTAACCCAGATTTCCTTAATTTTAGATTGTAAAAGTCTAACTTGAAAGAGTTCAAATAGAATATCTTGGCTTATAAAACCATGAGAAACAGATAGCTTTAGGAATAATTTGAAGGTAGGTAATGTATTTTATTTCTCTCTGTATTCCTAGTGCCTTCTTCAGCGCATCATTCTGGACTAGCCTGTCAAGGCAGGATATTCTTTTGTTAATTTAATTTATTTTAAGTTCCAGGCACATGTGCAGGATGTGCAGGTTTGTTGCATAGGATAACGTTTGCCATAGTGGTTTGCTGTACCTATCAACAGGGTATTCTTAAGACTGTGACTGAATCTACATTCTGAACATTTCCTTTTCCATTTGCTTCTGGGATGTTTCTAATCAATGGCCCTGGACAACTAGTCTACTGTCTTTCTTTTTTTTTTTTGAGATGGAGTCTCGCTCTGTTGCCCAGGCTGGAGTGCAGTCGTGTGATCTCGGCTCACTGCAAGCTCCGCCTCCCGGGCTCACGCCATTCTCCTGCCTCAGCCTCCTGAGTAGCTGGGACTACGGGTGCCTGCCACCATGCCTGACTAATTTTTTTTTTTTGTATTTTTTTAGTAGAGACGGGGTTTCACCGTGTTACCCAGGATGGTCTTAATCTCCTGACCTCGTGATCCACCCGCCTCGGCCTCCCAAAGTTCTGGAACTAGTCCATTTGCTACAAATCGATGGTTAAGTCTCTAAATCTCTTCTGTCAAAATTGCCCCCCCTGCCTAAGCATTTCCTTTTGTCAAAAAACTCACTCCCTTCCAGGGTGTTTAATTAATTTCCTGAAATATGTTAGAACCCCTTTATTCCTTTAGCTCACATAGTTCTTTTTCTTAAATATATATATTTTTCTATGGTACTATCGTGCATCTGATCATTCAGACTAGAGATTTCAATGCTGTTTATTCTTACGTCTTCAGTTTGATTTGATTCAACCAAAATTTGCTGAACATTTCTTGGGTATATGGAACTCTGATTCAGGGGACACAGAAGGGAGTACAGTATAGTCACTGCTGTCAAGATTTTGTGCTATAAATTGTGGCAAAAGCATAATTGTAAAATCATATGTACTTTGGAGTAAAACAGAAATGTATATGAATGGAGGAAGTGGACAGGTGTTCTCCTAGGTACTGGGAATACAGGAATAAATAAAATATTTTCAGTATTCTCCGGGAGCTCCAAGATTAGCAGGAATCACAAAATTATTCATCATAATAAACATTAATATAACAATTATAATATATATTAATATGTTAATATATTAATGTATTAATACATTAATGTGTTGTTAAATTAATACACTAATAATGTACTGATATTATTATAATATTGTATATCAAAATACATTGTCATGAAATTATTTGTGATTGAGACTATAACTATATATTTTTATATTAGTAAATGTATATTTATAATCTTGTAAATATAATACTTGTATTTATATATAATCTCATAAATATAATACTTGTATTCATATATATTTATATGAAACTCTATATATAACGTAAGAGAGGCAGTGGTCAGTTTTAGCCTGGTGATTTGGGAAGGGGCTCCAAAGTCAGCCAAGTTTGTCACTTCTCCTTTCAGACATTCTGTCACCCTTATCCTTGACACCACCTCAAATCTCCTCCACCCCTCATAGCTTGCTTCCTATAGCTGACTCCTGCTGTTTACTTAGTTCAAAGAAAAGAAAAAGAAAAAGACTCTAGGACAGGCTGACGGCAGGCCTTATGACAGCACCTGAGTGCCAATGCAAATGTCCACATTTTCTCTGAGTTGTTACCCTGAGAGTAAAATACACGCAGAGGGACAGCCTCTCTCCTGGCCAGAGGGAGCGCAGTTCGGCCCTAAGACCTTTCTGATGGGAGCAAGGAACGCTGAGGCTGCCCCTGCAGGAACCAAAGGGGTGGGTCTCCTGTGTCTGGATCATTTGGCCTGAATTTTACATTCCCCAGGAGTTTAGTATGTCAGGGCTGGGCAGGGTTGAGAGAGGCCATCAGGACAACATTCTCTTGTTCTCTTTTAATTTCCCCAGAGGAGAAGTGTCTACAATTTTGTTCAAAACATTTTCTATTCTCTCAATATCATTTAGAGCAGGCAGTTCTTCTTTAATGGTGCAGGTGGAATAACTTTTTTGTTGTGCTGGACTCTGCCTTGGGTTGCAGGGTTTTTATCATTCTTGATCCCTGCTACTAAATGCAAGTAGTACCCCCACCTGCAACTAAGTCAGCCAGAAATGCTCTACACATTCCCAAACACGCACCTCCAGGGGAACAATTCCATCCAAAATTGAGAACCACTGAATGATGTCATCAAATTTGCTTTGAGTCTGAATTATTGATTCATTAATTTAAACCATGCAAAAAGCACAGCACCTAAACCTCTTTGTGTGTTTTTTATTGTCTTGTACTGTGAAGGCTACAGAGAGGAGTAAGACATCTCCTGGGACCTTACTCCAAGTAAAAAGAAAAGAGGAACACAAATGCTAATATCTGTTGATTTATTCAAAATCATTCACTTGAATATATATACCGAATATCTGTTAAATCTGTATCAGGGCCTGTGATTCAGACACTCTCCCCCATATATAAGACACAAGGGGGTACAAATACCATATGGGTTCAGAAGAACAGGGGAGCCTTCTGGTAGGAGATCTGGAGGGTTTCTGGAAGTAATATTTCAGGCAGTACTTGGAAGGATTTGGATAGCTAGATGGGTGGGGTCTGAGAGAAAACAATCCAGGTGAGGAAAGCCATATGAGGAAGTGAGATGCCAGGTGACCTACTTTGACTGGAGTGACAAGTGAGAACATGTGCGTGTGAGAAAGGCATCTAGAAAGCTGGGAATAAAAGACTTGAACTCTTGGGGGAGTTTAGTTTCCATTCTAGTAGCCATTGAAGGGATTTCAAAGGGCATATTCATCCCAGATCCAGAGGTTGTCACATACTTGAAAACATTTCTCAGGCTCTACACCCTGTACTCTACACCCAAGCACACGTACATGCACACACACTCACGCCTCTCCTTCCCCTTTCCAGGTAAAATATGCTTTGTCCATTCATTCTCACAAACACCACTTTCCAGTTCAAGGGGAGAAGCTAGAGATGTGCAGATAGGTTTTATTCAATAGCCTTTATTGGTATAGGTTTTATGCCAATCTGCTGTGACTGGTATAAATGGGATTGACTGTGTTTAATCCACTCCAGCTCCCCATTGGTTCAACACTTCCTAATGCCTACCATTCTCTCATTCTTTGGCTCTCTCCAGGCTGCAAGTCCTTTGCTGACCTTCAAGGCCTCTCATTACCTGGCCTGCACCTACTTCCCCAGCCTCTTCTTCTGTACCGGCCCTCACCATGTACCTCACCCCAGCCATCCTGAGCGGCACCGTTTTATTTCACTCTCCTCTGACCAATTTTCATGACTAGTTCCCAGTCTTTCGGTTCTCAATTCACACCCCACCTCTCCCCAGGGCCCTTTCTAAAACCTCGAGCCTCAGTTAAATGCCACCCACCTCCCATTCCACACCCCCTTATGGATTCCTTTCAAGCCAGATTCCAGCCCACTTGATACTCTTTGAAACTATTCCAGCTCTTTTTCTCTTTTAACATTTATTGTCTGAATTATTTATCTGCCTGCATAGCACCCACGGTCGTTAATAATAAGTTACTTTTTTATATATTAACATATACTCCCATGGCTCTCCAACCACACGACAGTTTTCCAGTTCCATTCTGCCCCAGGCCCTTTGTGCCTTTTTCCCTGTGCCCCAAATGCAGTCCCCACCTTCACTTCCTGCTACCCAACCCTTGCCCTAACCATCCCTCACTAAACAACTATTCCCCACTCTTCTTCTGGGTCTCAGCCCAATAATTATTTTTTTCAGAAAGCCAGGTTTCTCTGATCAATATATGTCAATTTCACAAGTTATCTATTTCACTGCACCAATATCTGCTCTTTTATATTTATTTGGGTAATTTACTGATGAGGTATAGCTGCTCTAAAAAAGTTGTGAGCTTAAGAAGGCAAGATACTATATTTGTTTTTGCTCACCATTGTTACTGCTTTAACATCCAGTAAAGCACCTGGCACGTAGCTGTTCCAGGGGCCCAGTAGCTATTTGTTGCTAAATATATACGTGAATGAATAGGTTGGTGTCATGTGGTATGGGACCTCATATACCGTGCCATGGGATTTCCATGACCTCTAGCTACAGTGATGGATGAATAACAAAAAAATGCAGCTAAAATAGCATTTTAATTTCAGCTTCTCCTTAGCCTGGAAGCTTTTAGTCCAGAAAATGTGACCATTTTCTTAAGACTAGATATTGAAAGCTGTGGTTTTAACAGAGTTTTGTTTATCTTCAACATTGAGATTTTTTTGTGCATGAGACCTTATACACTAAGACTTGGCTCCCAAAGGATGCTGTCACTGACTCATTGAGAAGAGATTTTAAAATGTGGTTTCTAATCAAATCATCTGTAGAGCTATCAGGTGCTTCCTATGAATTCTCTGGTAATTAAGATACTGCCATGATATATCAGTCATTAGGAGCTTTTCTCATAATCGCATCAGTTGTCCTGAAAATAAAGTCTCTTAAGCCATTACTCAGGCACACTGATTTATGAAATCTAATGACCTGGGGCCACAATTAGGATTTCATAGTGATGGAATGCTTTCTGGTAACTCCTTTGCTCTGGAGACCAGAGAATGAATTTACAATTCTTAAGATCAGGACATGGTTGTGCATATTTCTGAACTTGGAAACAAAACAGAGTATTAGTCAATTGAACTCCATATCCAGAGTCCCCCTCCATACCAGTCTCTTAAAGGCCCTGGGCCACAAGAACAAGTAAAAAATGTTAGAAAGTCAGCATTCAGTTCTCCATTCAAGCTGCTAAGCAAGCTCTTACCCCCTTGCCATCTTATCCAGCACAGGGCAGAAGAGGCTAGATTTCAACTGTGGCCTTCAACCAAGAACAGAGGATTCCAGTCAGAAGGAGAGGTGTATCTGCCAGTGACTACCTTCCTCTCTGCAAAGCAGCAGGAACAGGGCCCAGAGAAATGCCAAAATCAGAACAAGCAAATAGACCAACCAAGCACAGTTCCTCCTTCTCGTAGCACAAAGTCCAGGATAAGATCTTCTGATCTCTCTGGATTCCTTCTCTCCTGTCTCTGCTCTGCCTATGGTGTATACATATAATTTTGCTTCTCAGCAATATCCTCATAAGCATCTTTTCTTCCAGAGTGAAGCCCACAGACTGCATTCTCCTGTATTTATCAGGATTAAACATCCTGTGCGTTCTTCTCTGCACCCTTCTGAGTCCCCTTCTCTGCACCCTTGTGAGTCCCCTACTCCCCAACATACACACACCATGCAAATAATTCTCCTTATTGTATCTGACTTCTTGGAGACACTCCTCAGCCATAAAATAATGAATGGCTGTTAATGGGATGATAGACATCCACTGTGCTGTGACAGATGGAAGGATTGGCTCTTCCAGGCTGATGCTATTGCATACTCCCTCCAAGCCAACCTCAGGGTAGTCAGAGTGATATTTTTTGAAATAGAGATTCTATCTTTTCACCACCCCCTCCCCATTTAACAATCTTGGATGTCTCCACAAAGCCTAAATAACAAAACCAACTCATTACGAGCATTCGTTGACCTTCATGCCCTCTGCCTAGTGTTACCTTCCATCATTCTCCCTGGGGCTCCCATTCCATACTTCCACACATCAACTCTCCTCATGTGGCTGTCACAGCAACCTTCTCCATGTCTCTCTGCCTTGCCAAGGCTGTTTTGTCTAGCTTACGTAAGTTTACACTTGGACACCTCCACCTGGAAAACAATGCCTTCCAGAAACATATTTTAGACCCCTTCCCTTCCCTTCTTCCCAACCCTCTCCACTCCCAGATGTAGGAATTGCTTTCCCTATGCTCTCTTAGCTTGTAATTACACTTATCTTTCATTTCTAAACTTCCAGATTAGGAGACCCTGGGGTATCAGATATAAATGAAGGGTCTGAGAGCCAAAATCAAATTATCATGGGGGGAAAGGGAGATGAACCAGCATATTTATGGTCACACTACCATCAAGTGTGGATGAAATGGGTGTGTGAGGAACAGTACCTAGAGTCAAGGTCATATTTAAGAGTAAGGACAGAAGTTCAATCCAAGGGGCCATAGACAGTCAGAAACCAGACACGCTAGAGTTAGATAAGAAGGGGGAACTGTACAAAATCATATCAGAATGTAGAGAAGGGAAGAAAACAATTGTGTTTGGAGGAGTTGGTTAAGTCAGCTTTCACCAAACCAAAGATGACATTTCAACTGAATTTTGATAAATTTGTATTTGTCAGTCTCAGAAGGAAGAAAGGATATCTCAAGCCCCTGTCATCAATGTTCCCAGCAGCCAGGGAGATAAATGGATGATCACACCAGACAGTGAGGAAGTAGCAGCTCTATTTATTTTCTGTAAAAATGTTATCACTGCAGTTTGCAATTTTGAAAACCATTTGTAATTTGTCAGCAGATTATATGGAAATAATGATAAAAATTATCTAGGGGTTTCCTTCAAGCTGATTCAAGCTTATGCATACTTAAGCTCATGGAGTCAGGAAAATTTATAAATTCTGATTCCAAAATCATGAGGAACCTATTGGGTCATTATGTTATAATGATAAATCTACTATTTATACAGAGATTTGCAGTTTGTTTTAAGAATAACAGCTGGCACTTTCTGTTTGTCTGTAAGTGTTCTCCAATGCGTTATCCTGTTTAATCCTTACAGCAATTTTGTAGCTAAGTCCTGATGTTATCCACATTTTACAGATAATGAAACTGAGGCATAGAGAAGATAACTCAGCCAAGACCATAACACAAGTATTTGAAACTAGGCAAGTTGACACCAAAAACTCAAGCTGTTGTTTGTCTATTGAATGCCCTCCAGCACTTCTTTACTAAATGAGGAAAGGGCAGATTTTGTGAAGGGAGTTCTTTGGAGGGAACTATTCCATTGAGTTCTTTTCAACTCCAGACGAGTGAGGGGGACTTCAGTAGGACCATTGCGGAGCTTTGAGTTTTGTTCCCTGCAGTGGGTTGATGTAGAAATTGGTGTCCCGCATTTTCCCACATGCCTGGGAATTCTAGGGAGTGAGAGATTAAGAGCTTGGGGCAGAGCCAGGAGAGAATGTTTGCTGTTATCAGTCTGCTTTCTCCGGTTGTTGGAACAAGGGATTTGTGGGTACTTTTTGTGGCCCAGTAGTGGGCCATGTGCAGGAGAAAAGCCTGTGTGTGCGTTTGTGTGTGTGTGGGTATGGGTTATGGGGGAGCGGGGAGGTGTATCTTTCCACATCTTCAGTAGTGTCATCTTGAGGTAGGGAAGGAAGTGGTGGTGGTAGTTGGGGAGATGGATATCTCTGCAATCCTAAGACTGAGGAAAGAATTGAAAGAGACCAGCTAGAATAGTGGTACATCCACTCCTGTCCAGGAACTGAAGGATAGAAGGGCCTAGGAGGGACCCTTCAAAGAACCCACAAAAATGCCCAGTAAAAAAAGAGTGAGCTTGTAGGCATCTGGATCTTGCCTGATCCAGAGAGCTCAGAATCAGCTTAGAATAAAATTCATTCCAAAAATACTTACCTGAATTTATCCCTCCTCTGTCTTCCTCCACAACCTGAGAACTTGAGGGAAATCAAAACAGAAACCAGTAAGGGGATTGAAGGCCAGAGTGCCCCAGGTGGAGGACAGATGGAGAAATGAAGAATCCAGCCATGCCCTTCATGCCATTGCTGGCTTCAAAGCCAAACAGCTCAAAATAAGAGTGGGGGAAGGCTTGACACTAACCCAAATTTGGCATTGTGATTCATTTCTGGGAGTGGACACATTCAAGTATCAGCATTGAGATTATGATTTCAAAGGGCCTGTTGCACTCTGACCTACGAGGAAGTGAACAATGAGAGCTGACTGGGGCAGAAGATTATCCCATTGAATAGTTTTTTTTTTTTTTTACGGAATCTTGCTCTGTCACCCAGGCTGGAGTGCAGTGGTGTGATCTTGGCTCACTGCAAGCTCCACCTCCTGGGTTCATGTCATTCTCCTGCCTCAGCCTCCCGAGTAGCTGGTACTACAGGTGCCTGCCACAATACCTGGCTAATGTTTTGTATTTTTAGCAGAGACGGGGTTTCACCATGTTAGCCAGGATGGTCTCGATCTCCTGACCTCGTGATCTGGCCACCTTGGCCTCCCGAAGTGCTGAGACTACAGGCATGAGCCACCGCACCCGGCCCCATTGAATGGTTTTTCAAGGTAGAGTAGGAATCACAAATAAAAGTGCATCCCTATGAAGCAAACTTAGAAGTTTTACTACCCAAAACTCCACTTTGAAAACACTCCTGGTAGAAATGAAATGAGCAGATAAAAACAAAAATAAATACAGGAGGGAACTTGAAGAGGTATAGAAAGGAGTGATCAGGTTACTTAATAAAGTTGTTGTCTTTTTTTTTTTTTTAAAGACAAGCACTAAAGAAAACATAAGAAAAACAGAATTATAATTTTAGACAAGTCACAGCAGAGGTGGGGCTGAGGGTAGGATTAAAGATAAAAGTAACATGAGAACATGCTGCACAACCTGTATTTTTATGAAAGACATAAATAGTAATACATTTAAAATACTATTAGCATATTTAAACATTGATATTAACAACGTAAACTGGAAAAGGGAAAGAGAAAAAAGAAACAACAGATGTTTTGCATTGAATAAATCAAACTTTGTATTTAAGAGTTTAATTGTATTTTATTGTCAAAAGCTTTCATAATAGAAAGCACACAAGAATGTAATATTACGGTAATTAAAATAGATGTAAATGGTTAAGCTCACCAATTAAAAGACAGAGTCTCCATTGAGATTTTTAAAAACACAAATTGTGTGGTCGACAGACACACAAATCAAAAGGATGCAAGAAAATTTCAAAATCTAAGGATGAGAAAAGAAATATCATGCCAATATGAAGCAAGTGAAATCTGGAATAACAGTCTTGAAAACTGTAGGGAAACAATATCTTAAAGAAAAATATTCTAAACCAACAGAGCAAGATGAAAGACCCATCATGAGCACATAGGCCTCTAAAATGTAGCCTCCAAATACATATATATAATTTATAAAACTGTGAGAAGCAACACATATAGCAGCAATTATAATTAGAGATTTTTAAACACCTCTCTTTAAAAAACACAACAGATGAAATATCCAAAAATCAATAGGTGATTACCTGATCTGAATAATACAAGTTCACTAGCCAATTAAGAATATATCTTATACTTAAGTAAGGTTTTTGGGGGGAATGAATGTATGTTTTAACATCAGATAATCTATAAAAATAATTTATCTGTATCAATATATAAAAGAAAACTGCATATGATTACCTGATACGTGAAGAAAATCATGTGATATGTTCAGTGTCTACTTCTGATCACAAGAGAAAACAAAAACAAACATGAATTTCAGCAACCAAGGATAAAGGTTTCATATCAAAAATCTATTGCAAACATCATACTCATTGGAGAAACTTTAGATACATTCTCTTGAAGATCACATAGAGATGAAGGATGTCTCCCATCACTGCTACTTTTAAGACAGAGTAGAGTTTCAGAATTGAGGCAGGGCCTTTCAGAAGATGATCAGCTGATGTTCAAGAGGGAAAAGGTTCATTTGTGGAAGAGTCAATGAGATGCAAGAAAGGGATCCTTGAGCATCAGTTTACTGATGGTCAAGAGTCCTCATGTCCTTTATTGGTTCTGCATTAACTGATAACAGAAAGTGCCTCATGAAGGAGCCAAGTCAAAAGGGAATGAGGGTGAAGGTGTGTGGACACTCACTCTTGGCCGGGGGCTTCACCTTCATTACCTCATGCAGTCCTCTCAATAACTCTGCCAGGGAATGGCTATGATTTAATCCATTCCACAGACAAAAAAAATTGAGATCCAGGAAGATTAAGTAATTTATCTCCGGTCTGCACAGGCCTCAGAGGCACCTGCCCTGCCTGAGGAGAGGGAGGTCATCGCGTGAAGCTGCAACAGCCACTGTTCCTTCTATGAGGTCTAAGGGCTGGGCTGCAGCCATGTCCTACTGCTGACAGGAACAGAAGGATCACATCATATTTGTGACCAAAGAAGACTACAAAACTCCAAGCATTGCAGAGCTGGTGGCTGATGACCCCAACGATCCCTCCCTAGGAGAAGCATGGATTGATGCTGCCAAATGGGAGACTTTGGCACTGCCTCTTCCTTGGGGGAATGGCCAATGGCTCCTACAGGGAACAGTTCAAGGCAGCCTTTTCCTGCTTCCACCATAACATGAGCAGGTCAAGGGGTCAGACTGTGTAGACCAGTTCCGAGCCATGCAGGAAGGCAGGCAGGAATATCCAGATCTCTATCCCCAAGAAGGGGAGGAAGAGGTAGAGGAGAAGCCAGCAGAACATGTAGAAGAAACAGCTCCCAATGAGGCTACTGCAACCAAAGAAAAGGAAGGGTCAAGTTAATGAAGGCCACATGGCCCTGGGCTCCAGTCCTTCCACTTCAAAGTAATACAAATCTTTTGCAAAAGACCTTTTAGTCACTCTCCAAGAGAGCCTCTTTCCCTCTGTTGTCCTGTGCACTGTAATATACAAAATTGCTTATTTTGATGATCAGAGGTTTTGGCCTCTTGACATATACACTAAAAAAAAAAAAAAAAAAAAAAAAATGGGAGTTTTAAGTGTGCATGTCCTACCTAAACCTGCCAGCAAATGTAGCCACCACTTTTGAATTCTTCCTCAGATTGCCTTGAATTTTTGCCACTTTTAAATAATGCGCTGATTTTCAGCAACTAAAAATCATTATCCAGCAATGTTTCTTGTGTGTGAGAAGATTTATTCTCCTTCATTATATCCCATTTAGTAGATTGTATACCCCTTTGAGAAGTAATGCAAGTAACAGAAACAAAAATATCTTCCTTTAAAAATGCTAGGCTGGGGCCCTATCTACTAGAAGAGGCCAGATGGTCAAATATATCTTTCTCCAAACCCATCTTGACCTTGTGTATATGAGGGGGTACTGTACTTCATTCCTGATACATTCTGGTTTCCATGTTGGCATTGAGTTTCTGGTTTTCTGTGTTTGGATGGTGAAAATTTGGACCCTCCCAATCATAGCCCCTTTCTAAGTGAGGGGAGAGGCTGGTTTTTGCTGTTCCTTATTATTCTGAAAGCCTTGGTTTGGGGCCCATGTTCACACTGGCTCTCAGTCTGGTCAGATGCAGTGTTCTTGATAGGTGGGGGCATAATTATTACCAGAGTAGCAACCAAGAGGAAAAAAAGTTGTGAATTAAGTATTCAGTTAAAAGGAAACATGATTTCTACCTGGAAAAAAAAAAAGTAATTTATCTAAGATCAAGGGACAAGACTAGTGAGGGTTTGAGATTAGGACTCAAATTGGCCTGACCCTTGCTTGGTCCATAACAATAAACTGCCCTGTGGAAATAAAGCATTGTCACAGTGAGAAAGGCAATGAGGAATGGAAAATGGTTAAGTAGAAACAAAAGGAGAAAAAAGACAAATACAGATGGTGGGCTACCTCCCTGCTCCCCTAACATACCCGACAGAAATCAAAGGTTTCAACCACTGGAGCACACATTCAGGGTCACTATCTTTTCATTATTACTATTATTATTATTTCAGGATCCCTTTTGTGAAGGAAGTCTGCTCCACAGCAGATAAGCTATTACACAGTTATAGGTATGTTCCTTACAAATCTAGGAACCCACAAAGTCCAATCCCAGATCAATTTCACTTCCAAGGAAATACTTCTCCAACAATTCAAAGCAACTGTGGCCAGGGGCCATAATCCCAGGCTCACACCCATAATCCCAGAACTTTGGGAGGCTGAGGTGGCACATCACTTGAGATCTGGAGTTCGAGACCAACCTGCTCAATATGATGAAACCCCATCTCTACTAAAAATAAAAAATTAGCAGTGTGTGTTGGTCTTCACCTGTAGTCTCAGCTACTTGGGAGGCTGAGGCAGGAGAATCACTTGAACCTGGGAGGGGGAGGTTGCAGTGAGCTGAGACTGAGCACTGCACTCCAGCCCGGGTGATAGAATGAGGCTCTATCTCAGAAAAAAAAAAAAAAAAAAAAGAAAAGAATAAAAGAAAAGCAACTACAATGTTACTCAAAACCTCTATTTGCATTTCTTAGAGAACATCAGTGGGACACCATTCCTGATCTTCTATAGCTCTGAATGACTTTCCCTTATTCCTCACAGATTCCTTATATCCCAGAGCAGCTTCCCATCCTGGTTTTTTTTCTGACATTTTCCCACACAACTCAGCCTGTGTGTTTCTTTCTCTTTGTCCCCAGGGAATGTTTTCTCATTCCTTGATTATATAGATTGTATAGATTGACTTTGTCTCTCTGGTAGAAAAACAGGAGTCCTGAGAAGATGGACGTGGGGAAGCAGGGGGCAGTTCTAGAATTCCCTTGAGTGGCAAGGGCAGGTAGGAAAGCTGTGAGAGCAGTTATATGACCTTCCTTTCTGCTTCATCAAGGAGACAACATCCTAGAGTAAAAGGAGATTTGCACAGTTCTGACCTGGCTGTGAGTCCCAAGTGTGTGACCATGGATAGGTGATTCCACCATTTTAATCTTGCCTTTAAGGACAGTATTAACCACCATCACATCACAGACCTGTGAGGATCAAATGAAGCACGGAGGGTTTTCAAAGTGAAGTTTTGTGTGGTAAAACTACTGAGGTTTTGAATGCCTGAAAATATCTTTACTGTCCCATCACATTTAAGTGAAAATTTTGGAGGTTATAAAATTCTAGCATTAAAGTTATAGTCATTTAATACTTTAAAAATATTGTTCCATCATCTTCTTATACCAGTGGTTAATCTCTGAGTCTTGTCCTTTTGCAAAGTGATAAGTTCTTTTCCTCTGGAAGCTCATAGAATTTTCTCTATGATGTTTTCAAATTCCATTAAATCACATTTATTTGGGGTTTGAAATCCTATTTGACACTTTGATTCCAAAGTCTCTCTTCCGTATTTCCTTTGTTTCTTCTTTTAGAAAATCTATCTTTAATATTTTTTCCAAGTATTTTCCTCCCTTTGTTGCTGCCTCTACTTCTCTATTTCTTGAACTTCTGTTATTCAAATATTGGCAGTTCCATTTCTATCTTCCATATTCCTTAATGTTTCTCCACTCTCCTTCATGATGACTTTTAGAAGGAATCTGATCCCCACGCCCAATGAGTCAGTCTTCTGATGTGTTTATTCTGATGTTTTTCTTTAATAGACGTGTCCAGTATCTTATTTTCTTTATTTTAACTATTGCACTTTTAAATTCTAAAATGATTACTTGGAATATTAATCCTTGGTGTGTGGTATACAGAGACTCAGGAATGCCTTTTCAACCTACAGGCCAATTCCTTATGGGTAGATGGTTAGAAAGTTAATTAGTAGCTTAGAAATCATTACTCTGTGGTTACTGTTGTTAGACTTTGCCCAAGTCATTCACCTCTCTGAGTCACAGTCTCCTCATCTGTTGGATGGGGATAAGAAAAGCCCCTCCCATTCCACCCCAGGTGGCTCTGTGGATAAGGGCTGTGGTGAGGCTGAGTGAGAGGTAATTTGGAAAGTGACCAGAACTATGCAAATAGTACTGTCAGTAACTTGGCCCAGCCATGATCCCAGAGCTTCATGCCTTTGTTCCTTTGGTTCTTCTCTTGGCAAGTTGAATGGTGGCCCTTCCCCAGAGGCAGCATCAAAGCTGTCATGACCTGTAAATGTAGCAGGTCAAAGTCCCTGGAATAAGTGTCATACTCCATAGGTCTGTACCCTGTCCTTCTGTGCTCTTAGAGTTCCAGGAGGCCAGGAGGGTGCAGGCTGTGTCTGGATTCTTTACTGGCCAGAAGCCTACAGTGCTTACACATACAGCCCTTATTCACCACCTCCAGTCTCAGCTGGGTCTCAACAGAAAGCATTTGCTTTTATTACTGGAAATCTGCAGGCTGAAAGATCTTATCTATTCACCTTCTCCTCCCTGGGTATATGTACAAAGGATGAGGAAGCTCAGGCAAATGCACCAGCTATGGCCTGTGGGGCTATAAAAAACAAATAACCCCCTAAGGCAATATCAGCATTTCAGGGCTCTATGCACATACCTGGATGAGCTCTGAGAGATCCTGGGCCGTTTAACAATTGATAACCACAGAAAAGAGAACCCCAAGGAAACTGCTGTCAGCTTATGTAGAAATTCCTGGAAAGGGCAATATTGATGACGCTCCCTCCTCTTCTCTTTTTATTTTTTATAAAATGAGTTTGACTTAGCACTAATACAGCATGAGATAATTAAAAGAGAAGAGACTTTGGAGTCATGAGTCCTGGGGTGAATCTTCACTTCATCACTGGATAGCTGTGTGTCCTTAGACAAATCACATAACCTTCCTAAAGCTCATTGTCCTTACTTGGAAAGTGTGACCATAATAACTGATACATTTTTGAGTTGCTGAACTAAATGAAATATATGATGGCATAAAATTAAAACTAATGATCAATGTAAACAAAATATTGGAAACTATGAGAAGCTCTGTAGTTTTGGCTGTCATTAGTATTGCTGGCTAAGTCCTCAGCAGGATGTGAAATTTAATAACTAGATTTGTTTGATAGTAATTGTGCCGGGATGACTACTATACTCTAAATTTTTAAGTGTGTTCCTCAGGTTCTAAAACTCATGTATCTTCCCATGAGTCCATAAAACAGAATTTTTTTTTTTGAGAGATAGCTATGTTCTAGGCACATAAAAACCCTCATTACAACTCCATATGGGAGATGTTGTGCTTAAACTCCAAGATGGCCCCAGTGATCTCACCTACTGGTATTCACTTCCTTGTGTGGTTCCCCCTTCTACCCTGTGTTAGGATTGGTCTCTGCAACCAACAGAATATGGAAGAAGTGATGGTATGACACTTCCAAGATTAGGTTACGAAAGACCCAGTGGCTTCTGTCTTGGTGGCTACCTCTCCCTCCCTCTTAGATGGTTTTCTCTGGGGAAAGCTAGCTGCCATACTCTGAGAGGCTGTCATGGAGAGGAGCTGAGAGTCTTGCCAACAAGTATATGAGTGAGCTTGGATGTGAATCTTCAGCCCCAGTCAAGCCTTCGGATTATGACAGTCCTAGTCGACAACTTGACTGCAACCTTATGAGATACCTCGAGCTAAAACAACCCAGCTAAGCTACTCCTGGATTACTGACCCTCAGAAACTATGTGAGATAGTAAATGTTTGTTGTCTTTAACTACTAAGTTTTGAGGTAATTTGTTATGCAACAGTAAATAACTAGTATGGGAGGTACAATATTCCTCTTTTATAGATGAGAAAACTACAAATCAGAGAGGCTAAGTATTTTTTCCAAGGTCATAGAGTTGAAAATACAAGATTTGAACCAAGTCCTTCAGACTTCAAAACCAGCATGACCTTACCACTAAATATGCTGCCTTCCTGAAATGGAAATACACTATTTTCCGGAAAAGAAAAAAAATAAGAGAAAAATTCAACTTTTTGAAGATGACATGCTGTTTTTATATATAGTTTTTATAATTATTCTCAGTAATGACTCAAAGAAAAGTTATTGTGAGTAATGAATATAAACTAAATATAAAACAGATTTGAGGGGGAAGAATAGATTGTTCTCAACACAAATATTTTGCTATCTACTGAATGTCAAGGTGTGGGAATAAAACTAAATATAATAAACATGGTTCCTATTCCCATGGAGCCTGCAGTCACCTGTAGAAAATAATTGAAGGGAAGGTTACAGCTGACAAGACAGTATAGGACTTTGGAATCTGGCAGAATTTGGTTAAAATCTATCACTTAGTATCTGTGTGATCCTGGGCAAATGACCGATTGCTTACTCTGCCAAAGGCTGTGCTAAACTCTTCAAGTTTGTCTTCTCCTCCAGTCTTACCAAGTTCTCAGCACTTTTTATGCATTATTCCACTTAATCTTCACAACAATGCTTTGAGTAAGTATTATTACCATAATTTTTACGAATTAGCACTTATCTCATTGGGTTGTTAAGAGACTTAAATTATATAATGCATATAAAGAGCTTAACACAGTGTCCAGCTCATTGGTAAGTGTTGACTAGGTGGTTGTGACCCAGTGTGGTTAACTCTCAAATCGGACCCTGAGAACGGGTATGTGTACTAGTAGTTTATTTGGGAAAAGATGCAAGAAGCTGTGAGGGAGTGGAGATGGGACACAGAGGGAAAAAAGACCACTAATGAAGGATATGTTTATGGACAGGTAACTCCTCTGGGTAACTGGGGCTTAATCCCATTGAAATTCTGAGACATATCATAGAGCATACCTCAGAAGGGGCCCACTAAAATGAAGAAGATGGGCTATTTATTCACCAACTCTTAACCCTCATTGATTGAGGTTAACTTTGCAGTGCTTCTAGCCTGCCCTAAGTGTGAGTCAAGCATGCTCTGTGATCAAAGAGCATCTTTGAGGGCAGGTGCAGAGGCTCTTGAGTAGGGGAAATGTCTTCAGATGACACAGGGGTAGTCCCAGAGAGCATGTTATGAGTAGTTATTAATATTACTGTTACTGTAATATCATAGGGATGGATAATATTGTGACAAGGATATGATATACATTGTCATGGAGCACAGAAGAGGGTCGCTTCCCAGACTTGGACAAGGAAAGTCTGGACAGGCTTCTCAGAGATGTGGGGTCAAAGGGAGAAGAATAACTGGGGGAGAAAAGAGAACAGAGGAGTGTTCTGGGCAGACAGTAGTTTGTGCAAAAAGTCTTGTCAAGGAACGAGAAAAAGGAAGGCTTATTCTAGAAAATGAAAGACATTTGAAGGCCTGAATTTTGAATTGAATGAGTCTTGAGAACTACTTTGGAAAGGTCGGCAGCAGTCAGATCAAGCAGCCCTCATAGGCCACATTGGGAAGTTTAGGATTTCTCCTAGGAGCACTGGAAAATCTTCAGAGGATTTTCAGCAGATTCGTACTTTGACATTTCACTCAGGTCCGCATAGGGAAAGTGAATTTCAGAAAAGAAAGAAATTTGAAAGCAAAGAAACCTATTAGAGAAGCGGCTGCAGTGGTTTAGTCAAGAGTTAATGTGACTGGGCAGAAATGGAGATGATGAAGACTTGCTAATGGACACTCGCATTTGACACAATTTGAGGGTCAGGAATTTAGCTTATCTGAAGTTTCTGACTTAAGGTTTCTTCTGAAGTGGTATCAGAAAGTCAATGAAAGTTGCAACTGAAGATGTGACGTGCTGGAAGA
Source organism: Homo sapiens (assembly GCF_000001405.40). Taxonomy (NCBI): domain Eukaryota; kingdom Metazoa; phylum Chordata; class Mammalia; order Primates; family Hominidae; genus Homo; species Homo sapiens. The sequence continues at coordinate 108,090,624 of NC_000009.12, read as the reverse complement.
TCTGCTTCTAACATGGCTCCCTCACATAGCAGTTGGCAAGAGGTCCCTGTTCGTGGCTGTGTGGGCCTCTCCACAGTGCTGCTGGATGCCCTCATGACATAGTCTCTTGCTTCCCCCATTGGGAGTGATAACAGAGGCAGAGAACAAGACAGAAGTCACTGTGTCTTTTATGCCCTGCCCTCAAAATCACACTCCATCATTTCTGAAATATCCTACTGGCTACTCAGGCCAGCCCCATCCAATGGAGGCAGAGTCTGTAAAAGGAAGTGAATACTAGAAGGCTAGGAAATGAGGGCTATCTTGAAGGCTGGCTGTGACAGTGTGACTCCAGCTCCCAATGGTTCACATGCCTCCCACATCCAAAACACATTCGCCCCTCCCCAAGGCTCCCCAAAATCTCATTCTATCCAATCAGCTTGAAGTCTGGAATCTCATCATCTAAATCAGGTTTAGGTGTCAATACATCTTCTTGGGTATACTTCTTTACGTATAGCTCCTTGAGTACAGATTCTCCCAATTTGAACTCCTGGGAATGAAAGAGACAAATTATCTGCCCCTGACACAGTGGTGGGACAGACATAGGGTAATGACTATAGACACTCAAGAAAGTTGTCACCAGAGCCATTCTGAAGTCTAGCTGGGAAAATGTTGGAATTTTCTTGATTAGTGGTCAGTCTTGCTCATAGAGCGGAATGACTGTCCATGGTTCTCAGATTTGTCCTATTGCCAACTTGCATTGGGTATGTAGCCTAAACAAATAACAAATATGTGTCACTGAGATCTTAAGCGGTGTTTGTTAGTGCAGTTCAACCCATCTTGACTAGTAGAATTATTGCAGGGGGGAAAGGCATTTAAAGGGAAGAAAGAAAAAGAGAAGTCTGTAGAGGCAGAGGAAGTGAAGTTGGATATGTGGCCGAGGAGAGAGGAGAAAACCCCACAAACTCCAGGATGAAGGAAGGGAGACTTTAAAGAAGTGGGGAGTATCACATTCTTTTGAAATGTCAAATTAAAAATGCCTTGGGAATGATTAGACTTTTAGATTTAGGAAAAAGATGGTTTGAGGAAACAATGGCAAGGAATAATTTCAGTAAAATGGAAAGACCAAAAATCAGATTACAATGAACTCAAGAGTAAGTAGGAGGTTAAGAATTAGTGGCAGAAAGTATTGGCTGTGAAGGGTGATAGCTGGGGTGAAACATGGGTATTGGGGAGTTTTGTTAAAATGGGAGGGAGTGAGCATTTTTAAGTTTATATAAAGGAACAAGGAAGCAAAAAAATAAAGAAAACAGAGGAAAGATGAAGTCCCTGAGAAAGCAACAGGGCATGCATGGGGTCTAGAGATAGACAGAAGGAGGGGCACTTCAGCCATAATAACAGGAGAGGAGGAAAGGGTGGGCATTTTCCCCAGAAGTGTCTGGTGTAGATGAGGAAGACTGAGGACAACCTGGCGTGTTCAGATTATAGCAAGAGGTTCTTCACAGATGGAGGGCTGGCCGCCCTGGAGGCCAGTGAGGGGAAGCCCATGGAGGGAGAATGAGAGAGTAGGAGAGGAAGCTAGGTAGGGAGGAGCTAACACCTGAGGTGCTAGAATGATAAGCTTAGATGTCATACATAATGCAGATTCACTTAGAAATTTCAAGCAGCATATGGGACTAACCTTGAAGACAGGATTGGTGATCGATTACACAGGAGGACAAGGGAGGAGCAGACACTAATATTTGTAGTAGCTTGGAAGGCTATGGGATGTTGACCTAACAAACAGGGACTACAAAGAGAGAATCAGGATTCGACATTTATTTTGGCAACCCTGGAATGTATTTAGAATTGCCGCAGAGCTGGGAGAACCAGGCTCCACGTCATTAATGTAAAGGAGGCCCAGCAGCTCTAGGTTACATAGTCAGGGTCTGTCAAAGCCTCCAAGGCCACACTGAACACAGAGCAAGATGCTGATGCTGAAAATGGCCTTTCACATCACCAACAGAATTGGAGGTCCCCTTGCGAGTGAACCTTTCCTACATCTAGCTGGTGCCCACGAGAACTAAGGGACACATGTAATCCAGGCAAAGTTGTCAGTTTATAAAGATGGGATCTCTGAATGTCAGAATTGGAAGTCATTTTATAGCTGATCTAGCCCTGCTGACAGTGGAAAAGTGGGGTGATGGCCAGGTATATTACCTTGGGGACTTCACTGACTACCTGAGCCTCAGATTCCTTTAGAGAATGCCTATCTAAAGAGGTTACTGTAAAGACTAGTGACACTTCTGGGTTCATTATTTATATAGTATTTACAATGGGCACTTTTTAAGGCATTTTACAAATGTTAACTAATTCAACCCTCACAACCATTGTATGGAGTAAAACTATTATCATCCCTATTTTAAAAATGGAAAAACTGAGTCCCCAGGAGGAGAAGGGACTTTGCCAAAGCCACCTAAGTATTTAGAGGCAGAACAAGGACCAGCACACAGGACTCCTGACCTCAGGACCGGTGCCTTTCATGCTTTCAATGGAATAAACACGAACGTTGCCAACTGCATCTTCATGTACCTGTACACGGCTTGTTTCCAGGATGTGGCTTCTGCCCGAGGAAGTGCTGGGAACACTGTGATGTTACACAGAAGCTTCTATTAGTGTTTCACAAACATCCTCTTTCCAGGCCCTTGGCCAGGTGTGTGCTAATGTTGTTCACTCCAGTCTGTGCAGGGAAATGGATACCCTAGAGGCTGCTGGCATCACAACAGTTTCTAAGATTATGGAACCTCATGTCCAGAGAGAACCACCACCTGGGGTCTACCCTTCCTGACCTTGGTAATCTTGAAAGAACTGTTTCTGCACTGAATGTTTCTCATTTCTTTCCTTAATTAATTTGTTCATTCATTCATTCATTTTAAGAAAGCCACCGGCTAGAATTATGGAATTATAACAGTAATTTCAAGCAATCAATATCTTCCTGCTTATATGGTAAATATGAAAATTTGGATTCTTCATTTGTTTCCTGCAGAAATAGAAAGTCGGTAACTTTAGCTTTTAGGTACAAACCAAAAAAAAAAAAAAAAAAAAAAAATAGAATCTCTGGGTTAGAAAAACCCAGTATCTCAGAGTCACTAGAATCAACTAACACAGGTTGCCAGGGTTGTTAAAAATCTTAAACTCTATCTGGTCCAATTGCCCATTTGATGCTCAGCTCTTCTCCACCCCTCTGTTGAATGGGCATAAACCAGCAATTTGCTCATTGCTTCCAGGGATAAACACTTCACTGTCTTATGAGTTGGCCAAATCTCCATCTGGAAATCTCTGAATGCTAGAATCTCTTCATTATTCTGAGGCCAAAGATTTCTTTCTGCAATGTCTACCTACTGGGACTAGTCTCAATTTACTAACTGAGTGACTCTGTAAAGTCTCTTACCAATATTGTGGACAACAGAATCTGAGTTATTACCTTCTCCCAGAAATCTCTCCTGCTGTTTCTTTGTTTAAAATGGAAATAGCTGTCTTTCTCTTTACCATCAAAGTCCTTTCTTCCCCAAACTTCAAATAAAGTACTTTCATGATTTCAAAGCTTTTCATATTCTAAATGACCTAATTGTTTTATCAAAAGAGAAAAGAATGGAGCTACCCAAACCCTTCCACGTGCAGATATTTGGGGAACACCTGGTACCTGGGAAGTATTAAGCCAGGTCCTGGTCACAGGAGGAAATGATTTGGATAATCATGTCTGGTGCTGGACACCATCATTCTGCTATTCTGCATGGACCCAGGAACCAGCCCGTGTCTCAGATCAAAGGAACAGTCTTGGCCTCAGGGGAGCTAGTAGGGAATCACTTGAAGGGAGGCAGCCAGACAGCGACAGTGAGACAGTGAATGGGCAGGAAAGCAGGTTTCCTGAGAAGGACTGGCTACGTGATTTGTGGGTCCCAGTGCAAAATAAAAATGCAGGGCCTTATTAAAATTATAAAGAGTTTTAAAGTGGAGACAGCAGAGTATTAAGCCAAGCAATGAGCCCTGGACAGCCCTGCAAGAGCAACAGCAAACCTCTGGGCTATGTGGTTGGTTCCATTTGTTCTGCTCAGGGAACCTCAAGGTATGTAGGGCATGGGAGGCAAAAGAAGGACCCTCCTCATCCTCTCCCTGAGGTCCTATGGAAAGATAACAGGACCAGGTCTCCTGACCTCCTATTTAGTGCATTTCTTACCCATTCATATTATTTTCTCATACAATGGCAAGAAGGCACTTACACAGATTAGAATAAATGCACATAACTGCTTTCCAAATTTTTCCAAAAGGAGGTGGTATAAAAAATGGAGGGGAGAACAGCTTTCACCGTCCAATTCCAAAGTCCATTACCCTCTAGCCACCCACCAGGATGTCACCTAAAGTCTTCAAGCCACACTTGCGTCATCTCTGTGGTGGGAGTGATAGGAGATTGTCTTTATGTCACAAGCAGCATTAGATAAAAATAATACATATTAGCTTAAAAATAGTGCAAATATTTCATTAGTGTTTTGTTGAGATAAGAAGATGAAAGAGAAAATAGGAGAAGCGAGATGAAGAAAGGAAAGAGGAAAGATAGAACCAGGCATCGCCTTTCATGTCATGTTTTTGCCTGCAATGGCCTGTTTCCTTTCTCCCTGTGAAAACTTATCCTGCACATGGATGAAGCAGCTCTGTTCTCAAACTACTTGTTCCCTTCCCTTGGGCTTCTCTAGCCATGGGCCTCCATTTGGGAGCCGTGATCATCTGCTTTCTTTTCTGCCTCTAGATCTGGTGCTCCTGGTAGACCTGCTCTCTGACTTACTCGCCTCTTGTGTCCCCAGGCTCTAGCCAGTGCTTGACCAGAGAAGGTGCTCTGTTCCTACTTACTGAAGAAGGGAAGAAAGAGAGAAAGGAGAAAAAAAGCAATGATGACGTTACTGGAAAGGGGTCCCGATCCAGACCCCAAGAAAGGGTTCTTGGATCTCCCGCAAGGAAGAATTTGGAGTCCATAAAGTGAAAGCAAGTTTATTAGGAAAGTAAAGAAATCAAAGAATGGCTATCCCATAGACAGAGCAGCCCCCAGCGCTGCTGGTTGGCTATTTTTATGGTTATTTCTTGATAATATGTTAACAAGAGGTATGATTATTCATGAGTTTTCCAGGAAAGGAGTGGGCAATTCCTGCAACTGAGGATTCCTCCCCTTTTTAGACCATATAGGGTAGCTTCCTGATGTTGCTAAGGCATTTGTAAACTGTCATGGTGCTGGTTGGAGTGTCTTTTAGCACGCTAATGCATTATAACTAGTGCATAATGAGCAGTGAGACGACCAGAGGTCACTTTCGTCGCCATCTTGGTTTGGTGGGCTTTGGCTGGCTTCTTTACTGCATCCTTTTATCAGCAAGGTCTTTGTGACCTATATCTTGTGCCGACCTCCTATCTATCTTATCCTGTGACTTAGAATGCCTAACCTCCTGGGAATGCAACCCAGTAGGTCTCAGCTTTGTATTTCCCAGCCCCTATTCAAGATGGAGTTGTTCTGGTTCAAATGCCTCTGACAATTACAAATAAGAAAGACCTGTTAGATGCCAATTCTATTGGGCAATTGTTTTATTGTGGAGTTGCTCCTTATAATGGGGCCAGTTTTTCAATGCCTTTGAATCACTCAGTACTATCAAGCATCCTCCTTCTCTCTCCGTAAGACCCAACTTGTAGCCCATCTGACCATAATGTCTTTTTCTGGAAAGACGCAAAAGAAGAAATGTGACAGGAAGGGGGGCAAAGTTGGGGAAGGAGATGCTACCGTCTTCTGCCCACCTCCTGCCTTACCACCCACCAAATCCCAACCATGGGCCAAGGCAGGGTAAGAGAATCAGAGAATCCCTGTTCTGAGCAAGTCCAGGCAAGGCACTAGGCAGAAGAGGAGGAAGAGGAGGGAGAGGAGTAGAGAGGAAGTGCTGGAGGGGCAGGGGTGGAGGGTCTGAAGGTGTTTGGGAAATTGTTAACCTGTGGTCGAGGGGGCAGAGTGGAGGCTGACACCTGAGGTCAGGATTCCAGAGCTTCACAGCAAGTTCCCCTTGACGCTTAGGCAGGGTGGTCAAGGCTGGAACTGCAGGTTTAGAACACCCACTCCAGTCCTTGCAGTGGATGGTCCCACAGCACTTTTATTATAGGAATATATAAGCTAAGATTCTCCTTAGGCACCTAAAATCACGGAGCCCACCCAGCATGGAGTGGGTTTCCTAGATTCATGACCAGGTGGCTCCTAAGTCAACCTTCATCTCAAGTGTACCCTTTCCACCAACTCCCCCAGATTTGCACCCCCTCCTGAAGTCCTCATCTCAGTTCATGGACCATATCTAAGTCATCCCAGAGAGAAATGCAGACTTTTCCTCCATTCCTACCTCACTCCTCTCCCTGCAACCTCCGATGGATAATTATATGAGTTCTACTCATCCATTCCCCTGGCACTACTCCAATCAGGCCACCATCATCTTGAACTTGAAGTGTTGCAACAGTTTCTGTTCCTTCTGCCTTCCCTTGGCCTCCTGTTCAGTCTTCTAGGCTACAGCCAGTGACTGATCTACAATACACTCCCGATCATGTTCCTTCCCAATCAAGCACCATCATATCACCTTTGGCATTTACAGAATCAACTCCTTGGCCTGACTTTTAAGGCACTGTGTGATCTGTCCCCATGGTGTCTGCCCTCATCCCTTCCCACTCTGTCCATATACCCCAGGCATCAACCTCATGCCAAATATCTGCTTTTTTACACCTTTATGCCTTTACTCAGGCCGTTTCCTCTGCCAGGAATAGTAGTCCTGCTCCATGTCTGCCTGATAAATTCCCACTGGTCTCTTTTGACAAGCTTGGCTAAATTGTCCCATCTTCACTAAACTCCAAGCCTCCAGTGGAATTCCAAGTCCTCAGCCCACAGGACTGGTTTAGAGCACTGAACACCTTGCATGCTAATTAGTCATCTGTGTCTGTCAAGCCCCCTCCCTGGAGGCTGAAAGCTCCTCAAAAGCAGAGTCTACCTCATTCACCTTAGAATAGAAATCAGTGGATGGTTGTTGATCTGAACTGCTTTGCAGCAGGCCTGGCACCTGGTACTCACCATGACTGGAGACCAATAGCCTAATTAAAACACACCAGGGACACTCTCTTTTGTTGCATCAAATCCGCCCTGGCAGATCCTCTGAGGAAAGAGAAACTATTAGCATGAGCAAGTACATTACCGTAAGTGGCACATCAGATTCTTAATTAGGAGATAAACATCTGTAAAGCATGCATTTCCTCGGTTACAGTGTATACTGAGAGCCCGCAGACAAGTCTCAGAGAATGGGTTTCAGGTCACACTGCCAGAGACAGGTGGCTGTTTGTCAATGCAGTTATATAATGCCTGCATGCTTGGAGAAATGGGCAGGGGCTCAGGCGTCGCCCTCTTGCTGAAGCCTCAGAGTTGCAAGTTCCAGAAAGGCAGAACAACCTGGTCAAGAAGAGATCAAGATGGCCAATTTAGTAAAAGGCTGTGGGGCATGCTGATATGTATGGGCATTTGAGGAAAATATTTTCAGCTGCTACTTAGAAGATGCCAGCAAAGCCCTACTTTGTCAGTCTCTTTTCTCACTGGGTTCCCATTTATCCACTCTCCAGTCATAAAACCCACTCAGCCTTAGGTAAAATTTTACAAAGTTCTCTCTTCTGCATGGTCTCGTTATAGGTGATGTGGGGAGTGAGCTGAGGATCAAAGGAAGTAATGTGGCCAGGGTTATCCAGCAAGTGAGCGGCAAGTGGCAAAGCAAAATCCACAGTTAATTATATTAATCCAGTATCCTTTTCTCCTGTGAAATCTGCCTATAGTTAATTGAATAGTGAACCCCACCTCCCTAAAATTCATGTCCACTGGAAACTCAGGATGTGAGCTTATAAGGATATTTACAGATAGGATTAAGGTAATCTCAAAATAGGATCATCCTGGATTTGAGTGGGCCTTAAATCCAATGACTACTGTCCTTATGAGTCTACAAGCCATGGATTGTCAAGGACTTCCATCAGGGACCAGCAACTAGGGGAGAGTCTGGAAATGAATTCCTCCTCAGAGCCTCCGGAAGGAACCAAACCTTGACAACACCTTGACTTTGGACTTCTGGCCTCTAGAACTGGGAGCAAATACATTTCTGTTGCTTTAAGATACCAGGCTGGTGGTCATTCATTACAGCAGCCACTGGACACTAGTGCATCATCTGAGTTACCCTTTGCTGCCAATTGCAAAAGGAGGGTTGAAAACCCCTAACACCAGCAAGCCATTAAAAATTACTTTTCATTTCATTTCATCCTTGCATGGAAATAAAATCACATCAATGCCTTCTTCAGATAATTGTCAAGGAAGACAGAGTTTGACAGAGAAGATGGGGAAGGAAACAAAAGTATGGTGGCCCACTATGTGTCATCAATAAGAGCTATATTATCTTACTTAATCGCTAATCAAATTAGTACTGTCAGTAGTGTTTTGACCCTATTTTATAAATGGAGTAAACAAGACTTTAGAGAGACCAATCTAAGATTGAAACCCATGTTGACTGATGATGGCCAATTCTATGTCCTGCAGAAATGAGTTGATGCTATTTGCTTCCTCTTCAAGGTTCTCCAGATCAAGGGTCCACAATCATGCCCTACACACAGGAGCCTGGAGCCTGAATTCTCAGATAGCCTCAGCCCAGCTCACCCTGTGCCTCACTCTTCTCCCTCATTCTCCTACAGCATCTGGTTGGGTATTGTGTAAATCTCTTCTCCCCAGCATGAATGCAATAGAGACCCCAGACTCTGCCCAAGGGACTAAGGCCAGGAGCCTTGAATCCTTCAGTCCGGAGACACGGTTTGACATAGGACTTCATACATACTTAGCACTAATCCCATACAAACGGCTATGCTGGGCTCCCTGCGAAGAGAGGGATTTGCCTTACTGAATCCCTCTGAGCCTCAGATTCCTCTTATGTAAAATATAGATAAAGTAGTATGCTTTAATTTGGGCTGAGTTCAAATCCTCATTCTGCCACTTACCACTAAAGTCACTTTCCGTCCCCCTAAGTCTTCCATGTTCTGGGGTTTGAGCAGCCATGAGAGGTTACACACTAAAAATTCACATGCACAAGCTATGCAGAGGTTAGTGGTTATTCTTCAACAAAGCTAATCATACTTGATTAAGCAGCAAATGCCAAAGAGCTATGCAGAGTTTAGCAGTTGTTGTTCAACAAATCTAACAATATGTGATTTGGACTACTTCTTCAGCTGCCAAAATATTTTTGATAGCCCAGCATAGCACCTAAGAATGTGGCTCTGGAGGCAGACAGCCTGGATTGAATCCCAGCTCTGCTATTTTTTAGCAGTGTGACCTCTGACAAGTAACCTAATCTCTCTATTCCTTAATTTCCTCATCTGGAAAGCTGGAAAAAACTAGTACCTTCCTCATGGGGCTATTGTGAAGATTAAATGAACTAGTACATGTAAGGTGCTTAAACAGGACTTGGTACTAGGGAACAGTGAATGAGTATTGTCTTCTTAACATTTACAATTTTCAGACATACCTTTTTGTATCTAATGATTTTGTAGTCATAGGAAATGACCCAGACTAGGCTTTGCTGTTCTTCTGCTGGTGTCGTCTAACATTTGGACAGGAACTAAGAACGTACTTCTGTAAAATATAGGTTGGATACAACAACCCAAAAAGATTTTCTTCATTAGAACTGAAAATGGAGGGATGGCTTCTTATAGTGAAGTCTCTACCTTGAGCTGAAACTCTACCACATAGGGTTGTGTGCTTTGGGGCCATCGCTTCTCTTTTGCGAGCTTCAACTGATTAGTCTGTAAAATGCGCACATAGGTGCATGTGTTTGTGGATGGTGGGAAGGGTGGGGAGATATAGTGATTGGATCAAGCGATGATCTTACTTTTATCACTGTGAGGTCATATCTGGCATGCGGCAGACGCTGTAGATTCCCAAAGTCCTCAGGGCATCTCCATCAAGTAACCTTGAATGTGTGGCCAGGATAATGACAGAAACTGTCCAGTTCAAGCCAACATCAAGACAAGGACCAGGCATCAGACTTTGGAGGCAGGCCAGGCAGGAAGAGGACAGATCTGCTCAGGTCTTTGGGGCCAGATGAGCTGCCAAATGATACACAGGCAGGGCATCTCAAGGTCCAGTGTGGAGGCCAGCACAAAAACCAGCAAGTGGGACACTACCCAAGCCATGCTCTGGTTGGGAACAGAGAAGCATGCTGGGCCAAACCCGGGAAGGTCACTGGTGTCAGGAACTCAGGATAGCCTATGGGTGCTGCTTGTCCTGCTAACATGGCCATGCAAAACCCAAGGTGCTTTTCTGTAAGACTAACCTCTCTCAAACTTCTAAACAACCACATTTTAAAGACTCAAACCCCAGGAATGCTAATCTACCCAAACAACATCGTTTTTGTTCACTGGTGTTCTGAGAATGGCATGAAGAAATGTCACAACCACATGGCCAACTTGCAAGGTTGGGGTTGAGGTATAAGTCACCACCCATCACACTTGCTGTGCAACCTTGTATGCAATATTCCATCTCTCGGCTTCTGTTTCCTTGTCTGTCAAATGAAAAGGGTATTAAAGAACAGTTGATCTCGAAATATTTTCCTGCTCTGGAATTCCGCGATTTCAGTTTCTTAGGTAAAATCTCAGTTTTTGTGCCAAGAGTCCCAGCCCACATAAAATAGAACATTCCCTATACTTTTCTTAATAATCTTAAAGGGAAAGTGAGCTTTTAATAGGTGTCCCTAGCTGTATAAAATGTATATTCACCCGGCTCCTTTCTTCATAGAGAAACTTTGGAAAATGCTTACTAATTTACCTAAAGAACACAAGTTTTGGAATTAAAGGATTTGAGCTTGGAAAGTTTCCTACTGTGCTCCAGATTATGTCAATCTGTTCTTAGCCTTTTAACACTCCGGTGCACTCTACCCAGGAAGCACTCAAAAAGCCAGCATGAACATCAGTTTCTTGAGTATTTCCCAGCATTATGTTCCAGTACTCTCTTGATTTGGTTCTTCCCAAGATTTTCAATTTCTGACATCTCAAGTCCTTCTTGTTTCAAGGACCCATTTATACAGACATCCTGGGGTGGTGGCCTTAACTTTTGACATTTGACTCAAACCCCATAGGCTGCCCAGATTCCAGCAACACCAGCTACTCTGCAGGAGAGGTGCCCATCCCAAGGAACCCTCCTGCCTCTCTCCTTTCCTTCCCCCAACTCTCTTCTTCAAGAAAGGACTTTATTAATAACCTCATCTCTCAACTGGGCATGACACTATAATACATTACCTAGCAAATGTAGAAAAGGGGGCATTATTAATAGAAAACACCCACCTGGACTTTGCTGATTTGAATACCGGTTCAGAACACTGGAGAAGGCAGCCAACGGGGCTGGGTTCTACTCTTGGCTCATTTTGTGCCTGGAAGAAAGCCGTCCCTCCACAAATGCAGTTCTCACCTTTGGAGAAGGCAAATTTCAGAATCTGCCAGCTCTTTGCCTCAGAGGGGTCATGATGCAGTTCCTCATAATACAATGAGGAATTCAAAACATACAGTGTGGCATAAAATGTCAATTCAGCCCAGGCCCTGAGTGCTTTGCATGCTGGAGAGGGAAGAGGGAAGTTGTGGGAGGGGGTGTAATTTGTGTGGAGGAATGGCAGATGTGGTTGATCCACTTTGGATTTATCTGCCCATCTGGACTTTCAAAAGAAAAGAAAGTGGTGTGGTAACAATTTCATAGCAAAGGCCACAGGCTGGTTAATCTTCTGGGATTTTTTTGAGTTAACTTCTGAAAACGTTGATTTGGCCTATTGGTTTCATATTAATTGGCTCTGACTAGCTGGAGCACTGCCAGAGAAATCTGGCACGTTGCATGTTGCAGTTGTCAATCGATCTTCTTTGGCGCTCTCTGGGGTGCAGCATGGCTGTGTGGCTTCTGCCGCGGCACGTGGGCCCTTTCCTAGGAAGCCCTTTGGGCCAGACTCAGGCATTCTAGAATAGGAGGGAAGTTGATGACGAGGGAAAAAATTAACTCTCAATGTGCAAAGTTAGCTATTCTGGAAACTGAGCCCATTTCATTTGGGACTTGGGCCAAGCTTCTGAGCTTCAAAGAGAAATTCAGAAAGAGAGGGGGTGTGGGGGAAGGGAGAGAGAGAAGAAGAGAGGCTCAGAGAAACAAGAGTCAGAGAAAGAACAGAGAGGGCGACAAAAAGAAAACAGAAAGATGGAGAAATGAGAAACCGAGAGATGCAGAGACAGAGTGAGAGATACAAACTTACAGAGACTGAAAGAGACAAGCACAGAGACACATAAAGAGAGTCAGACACAAACAGAAGCAGAGAAAGACAGTGGGAAAACAAAGACGCAGAGACAAAAAAAGACAAATAAAACAAAGATAGAGACACAGAGATGAGAGGCTCACAGAGACAGAGAGAGATAAAGAAAGAGACAGAGATGCATATAAAGAGAGACCAAGACAGAGGTGGATGGGTAAGAGAGAGACCCTTCTACCAAGAGAGGAAACAGAAATGTCAGGAGCCCACATGAGTGCAGAGATGAAGAGAGAGAGAATGAGAGCAAGGGCCCAGGCCCAGAGAAACCCAGGGGGGCCCTAAGAACAGCCTCATACAGGGGCTGCCCACCCCGTGTGGCTCACCCTGGCCAGGTCTTTAGGGAATCACTTGGGGCCTTTGCCTGAAACCCCCTGACCCCAGGAATCAGGGCGGCAGTGTCCCCAGTGCAGTTGAGATCCCAGGGCCTGCAGAACCGGTTAGTGCGTTTTGTGATGGAACAATGACTGAATCATGAACGACTGAAAACAAGAGAACAAAGTGGGGAGGAAAAAACCCACAGGAATAGTTTGGAATCCCGATTTCCTACGTGCAGTTGCTAAGCAGTTCCCTGCGGTGTGCGTCTCTCTCTGGGTCTGGAGAAGCACAAGGACTATGAGAAAAGCAGGTGTCAGGGATGTCTGCTGTGTGGTCTCCAACTTTTCTGGCGTGAAGGGGCTGTTCTTGGGAGGCCAGGAAAAACGCAACTATCCTGAGAGACAAAATAAAAAGGGACTGACTTCTGAGTTGTAGTTGCCCAATTCCCTCAAGGCCACTTATTAAACCACAGCGGGGAGGGGGGTGGGAAAGGTAGCCCTTTAATATCTCAGGAACATACCGTCCCCCAGATCAGGAAACTGGGTCACTTGGGCTTCTCCCTTCTTGTTGCTCTGTCGGTCATTGAAGCCCCTCCTGCCTCCACACCATGCCTGTAGCCCTGGTTATCCCAGGCCAGGACAATGTCACCCAACAGTCTTTGTGCCTCTAGCCTGGCCTCTTCCTCAGACTCAAATCCAACCATATCACCTGAGGGCAGGGGCTGCATTCCACCCATCTCTTTGAGCCAGTACCTAGCAGGGTACAGAGTGAAGGCTCAGTTTCGGTTTTATCACACTGAAAACAGCAGTGTCGCAAAATCACAGATTTCCAGCATCTAGTCATCAGGCCTACCTCCCATATCATAGATGAGTGAACTCAGAAACCAACTGGGAGAGACACTCAAGCAAGCTCCTGCTTTGTGCCCGTTCATTATTGGTAAAGGTTTTGGTCATTTATAACCCAGAGTTTTAAACTATTTTAGGTTTCATTCTCTACTTTCCACCCCAACCTCTTTGGTTATTGTTGCTCAATGGGGATGTGCCATTGCCCAGCTCAGACGCATCAGACATGCCAATGGGCTGTTGACTAGAGCCTCCAGCCTCAGTGTGTGAGGTTTTCATTTATTTGGGACTCTGTGAATTAGGGTCGTTTTGGTTGTAAGCAACAGATGAACTGGATAACTTGAGAAAAATAAACCAAAAAAGAACATTTGGTCAGGCACGGTGGCTCACGCCTGTAATCACAGCACTTTGGGAGGCCAAGGTGGGTGGATCACCTGAGGTCAGGAGCTTGAGATCCAGCCTGGCCAATGTGATGAAACCCCGTCTCTACTGAAAATACAGAAATTAGCCAGGCATGGTGCTGGGCACCTGTAATCCCAGCTACTCAGGAGGCTGAGGCAGGAGAATTGCTTAAGCCCGGGAGGTGGATGTTGCAGTGAGCCGAAATCATGCCATTGCACATCAGCCTGGATCACCAGAGCGAAACTTTGTCTCCAAAGAAAAGAAAAGAAAATGTATTGGAAGATAAGTTAGTTCACAGAAAAGGCAATTGAGAGATAAAAGAGGATGTGGGGCAGCCCTGAAGATTTAAGTCGCAGAAATCAGGGAACAAGCTTCTCCCATCTCAGCCCTGGGATGCGCTAGCCCTCGTTGCCTTCCACCTTGCGGCACTGTGCTCAGAATTTCTGCGAAAGAGTCTGAGGGGTTGAGACTGAGTCAAGTGTCTCCCATTGGCCGAAAGAGGAGAGAACCTCTTGATCAAAAAATCCCACCAAGACTGACTCACAGTCCCACAATGATAGTGTGAAATGGAGGTGTAGAATCTCCCTAAAGAATAATTTTTGTGACGTTATGACAAGAGGAGGGAAGGGGTGCCAGGGGAGGCAACAACACCCACTCTGGGAATTCCATGAATCTGACCAGGTCCCCCAGGAGGGCGATAGGAAGCTTTGTTCTGTGGGTCCTGCAGCAATTAGGATGAACGTAGGCCTCCTTTTCAAGTTGTCTGGGGGACATGCCGAGGAGGTGGGGCATCAGAGGGCCCTAGTTTTTGGGGACAGAAAAAGAGGAGATGGCCCCGGGGCTTGGTTTGTGGGAAAATATTTAGGGAGGAACAAAGGAATGGGTGTTGGTGATCACCTGAGCCTGGGCAGCAATTAGGGAGGGTGGGGACGGATCTGTCTGCAGAGTATCTCTGCAAGAGCCCAGAATCAATGCTGTCTCCCTAGTTCCAAGGCAGAAGAACAAAGAAGAATGCATGCTAGGGGCCTGTTTTTTTCTTTGCTTTGACTGTCTGAAAACTCCAATTCTGTACAGGCCAACGTGCTTCCCTGCAACAAACTCATATGAGACTATATGAATGTATTTTTAAAAGATAACAGTCCCAGCCATTCAAAATGATCTTACCCTTTGGCAACAGTTGTAAGATTCATGTACCTGAAGTGGATCAAGGCCACAGGATTGGAACCTTTAATATGTCAGTGAACACCCACTGCCCACCAGGACCTTGTCCCCAACTCTCTCCTAATGGAATATACCATGAACTCCATGACCATTCCATTGTGTTTCCCATTTACAATATTCCAAAGGCTTTAGTTTAAGAAAAGCAAACACTTTCTGCATAGAAACAGATACCACTCCCAATTATAAGCATCAAATTTGAAACTTGGCAGATCTTCACTCTGAACACCTGGGCCACTCTGGCTGCTGCCGGTGGCTCAAGGAATGTGCATCTATTTCAGTTCAGCCCACATAATAATTAAAAGGACAATTTGCTTCTACATAAAGAATCACAGAATGTAGCCTCAAACCACATAAAAGCCGTTTGTGCACTCGCTGCAGTTTGGTTTTTCCCGGCCGGCCACAGTCTGGTCTGGGAATGGTGGGTGCTTTGTCTAGTGGTGCTTCATTGACTTTTAGGGGCAGCAAGGTGGTGGGGAGGATCCCCTGGCCCTCCTCCTTGCCTGGGCCCATCACTCCCATGCAGACACTTTGAACTGCAGTTTTCCCATCTGCAAATTGTAAATAAGTGTACTAACTCTGTCTTTCTCAGGGTTGTGGTGCAGATCAAAAATAAAAAAAATACACGTGACATCACTTCAAACAATATAAGGGTTCTGTACAAATAAACGGTCTATTTATTCATACCACTTTGACCTCTGTGAATGTAACCTTAGCATTTCTCTAGAAGTACACACCAAGAGCAAATAGAAGGGTAGAATTCAAAAGCACCTTGGGAAGAGGGGAAAAGAGAATATAATCGAGAAAGCATGAGCAAAATTTGGGGTTCTACACTTTAATGCAACTTTAAGCCAATGGTTTGTTGGTAAATATTTAACAACCAGGTCTCTGGAGGAAAAGGAAAAAAAAAGATCTTAGTTGTAGTACTTACCAATTTCCCTTGTGTAAATACTGCCAACCATAACCAATTTTGAGATATCAATGTGACATCAATTGGCTACCAAAACTAAAAATGTAACAATTCTCTCTCTTTCTCTCTTGCTCACTCCAATAGGAGCTGCCTCTGGCATGCCCCTATCCTAAGTTGTAACCAAAGTTGTCCTGCAACACAGAAGCCTTTGGATTTCAGAGCCCACTGACTGAGGAAAGCAGAAATGGAAACCCCTAAAGGGTACCCCCCTCCTTCATGCTGCATGCAGAAGGAAACTTGCAGGGGTGAGACCCTTTTCCACTGTGATGTTGACTCAGGGCCTTGTCCAGTGAAGGACTGTTTGATCTCCCCTGACCAGTCTGATGAGAAAAGCCCTCCCAGGCTGGACCAGGAAAGGGGAGAGTCCTTCCCGTTTGCACATTTCATATGCACATTTCTTCTGCCCATCTTTATCTCTCACTGCCTGCCCTGTACCGCACCGTGGTTTCAAGGATCCGTTCATTACATTGTTTTCTCGCAAGTAGGGAAATGAAAGTAATGCAGTAACAGTGCTCTGGTGGAGTGAAACACAGAAGATTCCAGAATGGTTTCACCCAGGCTGGGGAGCTCAGAGGAGACACCCAAGTTTTTGCATTAAAAAAGCATGCCTTCTGCTCATAAATGGCATCTGTAGAGTGCTGTGATGTTTGCAGACGTATTCACACCTGTCTGCCTGTGTAATCCACACAGCAACCCCGGAAGCAGATTCGGCAAGGACTCTCATGCTCCCTTCCTGCCATCCTCTTTTGCATGGACAAAGAAGAAAGGAAACAACTAGAACCCAAAAAGAGATAACAAGAAGGAGTTGCATTGTGGATGCTTTACCAATCGATACCAAAATTTTGAGATTTTGATCCCCAAGGAGGTGTTGTATTGGTTATTGCTTCTTTTTAAAGCGAAGAAAAAAACAATTGTTCCTAGTCAATTTCTCATTGTCATTTGTCAGTTCAGGAGTCCCTGGGGATGTCCTTAACTGTGGAGTAGAAGCACAATAGCCAAGAATTGCCTCACAATTCCTAGAGGCAATAAAAGATTTTGAATCTGGCTGGGGTGGTGGCTCACTCCTGTAATCCCAGAACTGTGGGAGGCTGAAGCAGGCAGATCACCTGAGGTCAGAAGTTCGAGACCAGCCTGGCCAAATGGTGAAACCTCGTCTCTACTAAAAAAACACAAAAATTAGCCAGGTGTGGTGGTGCATGCCTGTAGTCCCAGCTGATCAGGAGGCTGAGGCAGGAGAATTGCTTGAATCGAGGAGGTGGAGGTTGCAGTGAGCCGAGATCACACCACGGCACTCCAGCCTGGATGAGTGGCTTTTGGAGCTAAAAATAGGTTGCAAGATGTGTGATTTTGTGTGTGTGTGTGTGTGTGTGTGTGTGTGTTTAACCTCCCTCAGTATTTGTGAAATGGGAATACCACAGCCTCCTTCAGAGAGCATCATGACGTTAATGACGTGAACAGGTGGATGGCTGATGGTGCCCGTGTAGTTAGTGGCGGTCCTCGCCGCACAATCAGCCCTCCTTTTGTACCCAGTTCTTGTGCACCAGATGGGGTCATTGGTGACAAATGAGTCACATGATCAGTCATCTGTCTTCTTTATCAGTAACAACCTGGCAAAGATCTCCTTGAGGAATCATCTCAGGGGCAGCTGGGGTGTTGTCAATTTTCATACCCCTTGGACTTGGCTTTCTAAGTGGGCTGTGACATCAGGACACAGGAAAGTTGAGAGGCTCTCAGATCTAAGTCATGCCTCTGAAGGATCTGTTGATTGTCAGCAGACGGTTAATAAGGCAGGAGCTCAGAGATCTCCAAAAGAATGAATTTCTCAGCTGGGTGTGGTGGCTCATGCCTGTAATCCCAGCACTTTGGGAGGCCGAGGCGGGCGGATCACGAGGTTAGGAGATCTAGACCATACTGGCTAACACAGCGAAACCCCGTCTCTACTAAAAATACAAAATATTAGCCGGGCATGGTGGTGGGCACCTGTAGTCCCAGCTACTCGGGAGGCTGAGGCAGGAGAATGGCATGAACCCTGGAGGCGGAGCTTGCAGTGAGCCGAGATCGAGCCACTGCACTCCAGCCTGGGCAACAGAGCGAGACTCTGTCTCAAAAAAAAAAAAAAAAAAAAGAATTTATCTCTCTCTCTTTCAACTTATGCAGTACCAGAGATCCAGCCCAAATCCTCTGATAGTTAAAGTTGGGAAAGTGAAGTACTTTCCAGGGCCCCAGGAATCCCTACTCACTTGTCTTACTGAAAAAGAGTCTACGGTTTCAAGCCCGAAGAGCTGTGGCTTGGGTAAGGAGCGTTGGTTCATTTCACTCCAAATGGAGCTACAGCCTAGGAGAGCCACAGGGCTCTTGTAAATGGGGGAATGATTTAATCCCCAAAACCTAGCCAGGGGAGAAATTACTGTAGAGGAGAAATTCTTTCTGATATCCAAATAAAAAGATACAGTGCCCATTCATTTCCTGGAAATTTTTGTTGACAAATACCCTATCTAGAACAGCCTGCACAATGGCCATGCTTTGGGGAGCACAGGAGTAGACAGTCCTGCTTCCTTTACCTTTTCAGCTACATCAATCCAGGTTGTGGCATTTTTTGTTATTAAGAGTAATAATGAGACATGTCTATTGAGCTAGTTTCAACTGAATCATTTAGGAGTTACAGCCTATTGACATAACTGTGTATAAACAAAACCCAGGATTCATTCCAAAAACATGTAAAGTACATTTGTGTGATTTTGTGCTTAGTTTGGTGAGAAGGAACCTAGTTTTGAAGTCTGACTCTGAACTTCAGTTTTCGTTGGTGAAATGAAGATCTAATGATAATCTCTTTCCTGTTATCTCAGTAGCATTCTTGGAGAAGATCACAGAAAGTTAAGACTATGAAAGCATCTATAAACTGTAAGGTGTTGTATACACAATGGGAAAATTAGCCTGGGAGTTTCCCAGTACCATGAGGCGTTCCTGAATAGTGGGAGGGAAAATGCTTTTGTTTTTCTTTCTCCAATGGGATGTGAGTACTATCCTGAAGACAGCGATGCCGTGAAGGACAAACTCCTAAATGCAACTCAAGAGGTTTTTACATATAGCTCAAGTGGAAGAAAATCTGTGGCTTGATGTCCATAGGAGAGTGGGGTAGTGACAACAACTGAACAATTGTTCTTCAGAACTCATGCTAGTAGCAGAGGAATTAAAATAAAGATCCCTGGGAATCTCTTGGAAAGATGGTATCAGCTTAGAATTTCTGGCAAACTCCAGCTAGCATTGCTTGGTAAAGACTGGAACTCACAGGCAGAAGCATCAGCAGGCTGCAGGAATGCAAAGTGGTCTGTGCCAGGGCAGAGCTGAACATGCTGCAGAGTTATACTGTAGAATGGGGGTCCGCAACTCCCAGGCCACCGACTGGCACTGGTCCGTGTCCTATTAGGAACTGGGCCACATAGCAGGTGAGCGGCAGGCAAGCAAGTGAAGCTTCATCTGTATTAATAGCCACTCCCCATCACTCACATTACCACCTGAGCTCCATCTTCTGTGAGATCAGAAGTGCACTAGATTCTCATAGGAGCGCAAGTCCTATCATGAACTGTTCCTTTGAGGGATCTAGGTTGCATGCTCCTTATGAGAATCTGAGAATCTAATGCCTGATGATCTGTCACTGCCTCCCATCAACTCCACATGGGACCATCTAGTTGCAGGAAAACAAGCTCAGGGTCCCCACTGATTCTGCATTATGGTGAATTGTATAACTATTTTATTATATATTACAATGTCATAATAATAGGAATAAAGTACATAATAAATGTAATGTGCTTGAATCATCCCAAAACCATCCTTCTCCCTGGTCCACAGAAAAATTGTCTTCCACTAAACCAGTCCCTGGTGCCAAAAAGGTTGGGGACCATTGCTCTGGAAGAGGGCCACCCCATTGCTCCCCCCTTGGTACAGGGCAAGAGGGATTGGAATTTTGTAAGCCTGGGGACAAGGAGTCCAGGCTGGGGCATAAGCTGCCCAGAAGAGGTGCTGGCCAGTGCTGGGAACAGCATTTGGAGACCTGGAGATAAGCAGACTATGTGTGCAGGTCTACCAGCTGCAGGGAGGCACTGAGGTTATCAGAGGATACCCCTATACTTGTTTCCCTATAGAAGTTCTCCCTGGATTTATGGAGGAAGAATGTGAGAAAAAAAGACAGAAATTCCAACTTACTGAATGCTTACTAGGTGTCAGGCTGCATCAGTTGCTTCCCATATTTGATGTCCTTTAATTTTTCCAAAAGCCCTATGAGAAAAGTGCTAAATCACAGTTGAAAGAGGAAGGTCTGAAGCTCAGATTGAATGACTTCTTCAATTTCTTGGAGGAGAGAGAGGAATCCAACCCGTGCTTCTCACTCCAAAGCCATGGCTTTTCTTCTCCATGATGGTGAAAGAGCTCTCACAAGCTTAGAGAAGTGGTTCCCAATTACAGAAGAACTCTGGAATCACCTGGGGAGTGGAGAATTTTAAAAATTCTCAGAAAAAAAAATCACAGTGGAGTGGTTATTTTAAAAATAACCATACATAAACCCCACTCCTAACGATTCTGTTTTCATAGCTCTAGGATGGATCTTGGGCACTGGTGTATCTTAGAATCTCCAGACTGTTCTAAGATGAAACCTTAGAATACTTTTTATTATATTTTGTTTTGTTTCAAGTAGTGTTCAGAGGAGCTCCTAGTTCAACAGGAGGTAGCATAAAATCTAGTTCTAAGGAGAATTCATTCATTCATTCATTCATTCATTAATTCATTCAATAAGGGAGACCTGTAAGAAAACAAGACTGATGATTCCATATGAACTTTAAAGTAGTTTTTTCCAATTCTTTGAAGAACGTCGTTGGTAGCTTGATGGGGATGGCAGTGAATCTATAAATTACCTTGGGCAGTATGGCCATTTTCACGATATTGATTCTTCCTACCCAGGAGCATGGAATGTTCTTCCATTTGTTTGTATCCTCTTTTATTTCATTGAGCAGTGGTTTGTAGTTCTCCTTGAAGAGGTCCTTCACGTCCTTTGTAAGTTGGATTCCTAGGTATTTTATTCTCTTTGAAGCAATTGTGAATGGGAGTTCACTCATGATTTGGCTCTCTGTCTGTTATTGGTGTATAAGAATGCTTGTGATTTTTGCACATTGATTTTGCATCCTGAGACTTTGCTGAAGTTGCTCACCAGCTTAAGGAGATTTTGGGCTGAGACAATGGGGTTTTCTAGATATACAATCATGTCATCTGCAAACAGGGACAATTTGACTTCCTGTTTTCCTGATTGAATGCCCTTTATTTCCTTCTCCTGCCTGATTGCCCTGGCCAGAACTTCCAACACTATGTTGAATAGGAGTGGTGAGAGAGGGCATCCCTGTCTTGTGCCAGTTTTCAAAGGGAATGGTTCCAGGTTTTGTCCATTCAGTATGATATTGGCTGTGGGTTTGTCATAGATAGC